>NT_187611.1:0-196688 GCF_000001405.40 Homo sapiens
CACCTCCCGGGTTCATGCCATTCTCCTGCCTCAGCCTCCCAAGTAGCTGGGACTACAGGTACCCACCACCACGCCCAGCTAATTTTTTTTTTTCGTATTTTTAGTAGAGATGGGGTTTCACTGTGTTAGCCACGTTGGTCTCGATCTCCTGACCTTGTGATCCGCCCGCCTCAGCCTCCCAAAGTGCTGGGATTACAGGCGTGAGCCACTGCGCCCGGCCCTAATTTTTGTATTTTTAGTAGAGTTGAGGTTTCACCATGTTGGTCAGGCTGGTCTCAAACCCCTGACCTCAAGTGATCCACCCCGCCCCCGCTTCGGCCTCCCAAAGCACTGGGATTACAGGGATGAGCCACCTCGCTGGGACCAGACCTTACTTTCTTGACTTGGCCACAAGTCTGTCCTGCTCAGAGCTGCTGAAAGTGGCTCTCCTGTTGTATGGGCTTGGGTGTGGTGTGGTGGCCCTTTCCCTGTCCCAGCTGCCTTCTTCCTGGGCACTGAAAACGATGCTACCATTGTTTTTTTTTTTTTTTTTGAGACGGAGTCTCGCTCTGTCGCCCAGGCTGGAGTGCAGTGGCGGGATCTCGGCTCACTGCAAGCTCCGCCTCCCGGGTTCACACCATTCTCCTGCCTCAGCCTCCCAAGTAGCTGGGACTACAGGCGCCCGCCACTACGCCCGGCTAATTTTTTGTATTTTTAGTAGAGACGGGGTTTCACCGTTTTAGCCGGGATGGTCTTGATCTCCTGACCTCGTGATCCGCCCGCCTCGGCCTCCCAAAGTGCTGGGATTACAGGCGTGAGCCACCGCGCCCGGCCAAATGCTACCATTGTTAAGTGCCAGGCGTCCCACCATGCGGGTCTTCACTGCGTATCCACGTAGCTGCACCACGCAGGCATTCTTTCCTCCCTTTTGCAGATGATGGCACCAAAGTTCAAGACTCGCCCAGGGCCACCAAGACAGTCCTCTAGACTTTGGTCTTCCCTCCTTGCCTCCTCGGCCTGGGGTGGTGGCGCCTCGGTCTGAGAAGGGTCGAGGTCTGGGTGCTGCTAGTGGCCCTGGCTCAGTCTCAGAGCTGCCCGGAGGGGGTGAGGATGGCTAACTTAAGGAGCACAGGCAGAGGCTTCCTGCTGGCAGGAAGAGGGCTGAGCTGCGGAAGGCCACCCAGGTGGAGTGTGCTGCACCTCCTTCAGTGGCCTTCAGGAGCTCTGTCCTCACCCAGGGATTGGGGTGAGTCAGGGCATGGGGAAACAGGCTCACAGAGCCCACCTGCTCACCCTGACCACCCCACCCCAGGGGACCCCAGGCTCCTAACTCTCAGAATCCCACAGTCTGTATTGGCGGAAGACGGGCTGGCACCCTTGAGTTAGGCCCCCAGTCGTTGGCACAGATAAGGGGAGCTGCTGCTGAAGGAGCCCGACGGCTGATTCTGTGGAGGCTTCTCAGAGCTCCTGGCAGGAGCCCCTCACCGCAGGAGGCCCACAACCCCTCCCAGCTGCATATCGGCTCACATTCACGCGGCTGCCACACAAGTGCGTCGGAAACTCCACTTGGCTGAACGTGATTGTGCTGCTGTCTGGGACAGTCTTATGCACGTGAGCCCAATACTGGATGTCCCGCCATTTTCAGCCCTGGGGCCTATGGCAAAGTGACGCCCCCCTCGGAGTGCACGGCAGGCAAGGAAGGTTTAAACGGAAGTTCTGACCAGGACGATGCTGGGTGCAAGAGGGGACGGGGATGGAGCAAAACAGAAAGGATCCACCAGGGCCTGCAACCACGTCTTTGGCCCCGGTGAGGGGTGGGACCTTGTGTATAGGTCCAGGCAGCAGCAGCTGCAGACAGAGGCCTAGAGGGTTTGGAGAAGGCCGACCACAAAGACACGCCTAGACCCCAGAGTCTAGTGAGGAGAGGGACTGGGGGCAGTGTTTCGGCAGCAGACCCAGACCCAGACTCAGACCCAAGCCCCCCTCCTCACTGATCAAAACCCCAAGGGCAGGGAGCCCTTCCTGCTCCTTCCCGCCAGAGCCTGGAGGATGAGGGGCAGACGGGAGGCCCGGCCACTGGTGCCTGCTCCTTTGATCAGCTGTAGTCCCTTCCCCTTCACAGGGCACTTGTCTTGCTGGTTGGGGTCACCAGGGATTGCTCCCCCAAGTACCCATCAGCCTCCAGGGCCCAAATGATTCCATGCAGTAGCTCTCTCCCCCTCTTCTGAGAAGGCTCTTGGCTCCCAGAAACGGAAACCATGCCTGGGCCTGCTCCCCTTCCTTGGGCTGTGACCCCCCTGCCACAGAGGCCCCCCCCCCGCCACAGAGGTCCCCCCTGCCACAGAGGTCCCCCTGCCACAGAGGCCTGGTGGCCCCTGAGCTGCTGCTCCGAGTGGAATGTCCTGGTCTAGAGGCCCTTGGCTGCTCCAGTGTCTTAAGACCCATATATGAGTGCTGGCTCTGACCTTGAACAAGCTCCTCCATCGCTCCAGGCCTCGTTTTTCAGGTGTATATGATGATAGTATCTCTAGGCCTCGTTTTTCAGTTGTAAAGCAGGGATGATCATATGTGTTTAACTCCCAGATTGTTATCAAGTCAAGGACAACAATAGGAAAACATGTCACCTGTCAGCTCCACACAAGGCAAAGTAGGATGGGTGACCCCTGACTAGGGGGTGGGAGTGCAGGGGGCACCCGACCCATCTGGCCAGCCACAGCCTCTGTACCCTGCTCGCATTTTCAGGCCTCAATCCCCAAGCACTGTTGGCCCTGGACTGTTTCCCCCCCTCAATTCTGTTTCTCAATGCCTGCTTCTTCCCAGTAAGTGCCACACCCTGAGGGTGGGTGGGAGAGTGAGGCAGCACTGCCCACTTTGGCTGGGACTGGGCACTGCTGGGGACAGCACGGGCCACGTCTTCCCCATCTCAAGACTGGCTTTTTGGCTAGGCATTGTGACTCACGCCTGTAATCTCAGCACTTTGGGAGGCTGAGGTGGGAGAATTGCTTCAGCCCAGGAGTTCCAGACCAGCCTGGGCAAAATAGCAAGAATTCATCTTTATGAAAAAGAAAAAAAAAATTAGCCAGGCATGGTGGCACACACTTATAGTCCCAGATACTTAGGAGGCCGAGGTGGGAGGATCCCTTGAGCCCATGAGTTGGAGGCCGTGGTGAGCTATCAGTTGCACCACTGCACTCCAGCCTGGATGGCAGAGCAAGACCCCAACTCAAAAAAAAAAAAAAAAAAAAAAAGGCGGCCTTTTCCCAGCTGGCAGCACCCTGGCTAGTTAGGGTTTCTCCGAATCTGCAACTCCTGTGTGATGGCGGGTCTCAAATGCTGGCAGCAGAGTCACCGGTCAGCGGCAAGACCTGGAGTCTCCATTTGGAACCAGCACCCGGGAGCCTCTGCTGGGGGTGATCATGGAGCCGCACGTGGAGGCTGGTGGCTCTGATGGTTCGAGCCGTTCCTCGGCAGCACAGCACACCCGCTCCTGAGGAGCCACGGAGCTCATGAGCGTTGGCAAAGTGCTGTCAGTGCTGGCTGTAAGGAAACAGGCTTGACTTTTAACTCAGCCTTTCCCAAACTTGACTATAATACTTTCTTGAAAATCAGAATAACCACTAACATCACAAAACGAGTGTTCTCAGGAGTGGGCATGTTTATCTCGTTCTCTTTTTTTTTTTCTTTTTGAGACGGAGCCTCGCTCTGTTGCCCAGGCTGGAGTGCAATGGTGCGATCTCGACTCACGGCAATCTCCGTCTCCCCGGTTCAAGCGATTCTCCTGCCTCAGGCTCCCGAGTAGTTGGGATTACAGGCGCACGCCACCACGCCCGATTAATGTTTATTTTTAGTACAGACGGGGTTTCTCCATGTTGGTCAGGATGGTCTCGAACTCCTGACCTCAGGTGAGCCTCCTGCCTTGGCCTCCCAAAGTGCTGGGATTATAGGCGTGAGCCACCACGCCCAGTCTTTTTTTAAATATTTGAGTGAAATAAAGCCTAGGAGATATGTGTTCCAGGCGCCCAAGCTGTTAATGTGGAGCTTGAATGTGGCCTGGACCTGCCCTTTCCTCTTCTCCTTTCATCCCCCTCCCTGCCGCCCACATCCTGAACTGCTCTGAGCCTGCAGAAGAACCCAGCGGGAATCTTCAGGGTTGTGGAAGGGTGTAGGGATGGAAAGGGACCAGGATTCGCCTGTTTGGCTGGGAAAATCGGTAGAGGAGGGTGGCTCACACTTCTAAGATGTCTGCACAAGCCCAGTTTGTTTGGGGGTTGGGGAGGAAGGTCTTTTCCTGGCCCACTGTCCCTCCCGAGTCAGCAGTCCCCCAGAGAGACGAAGAGCAGCTGGGCACGGCTGGAGCTGGTCGGTGGCAGAGAATCTTGTCCTGCCTTTTCTTCTCAAGCTCAAAATAGGCACATGCAGCTATTAACTGATATGCCAGAAGGGGCATCCCTTACCCGGAGGAAAATGGATTTATTGCTTTATAAAAAAGAAGTCTAATAAAACTGAAGAGAAAATAACTAAAAATCCAAACACAACTCACCCCTCTAAGCACGCCCAGGAGGTCTCAAGACACACTTCTGGGGGCAGTCAAGGTGGGCGGGTTGGTGGGCCAGGCGGACGGGCCTCCCCCGTCATCAGCTCCAGGGCCCCACGGAGCCCGCCGGCAGGGGGTGCTGTGGGCCTGTGGCCTTGGACAAGCTCCTGGCCCCACGCCAGGATGGCTCCTGGGCACTGGCCCAGCTGCAGGCCTGGCGGCTCCCGCCTGGTCAGTGGGGATAAGGGCTAACTCCTAGAGCCCACCCCGACCCCACACACACCTCGGACCCACCCACGTCCCCACCCCGGCCTGGACCTCCACGTCTGCCGGCCACAGCCTTTCGTCCACCTCCACAAAAGCAGCTGTGTGTATGTACGGGGTGCCCTGGCGGCGGTCCTCAAATTCCCTTCAGGTGGCAGACAGAACGAGGGTGACAGTGAAAACGTGTCCGCGGCATTGGCCCTCGGGGAGGAGGCGAGGGGTCCACCCAGCCCGCTAAACCCTCTCCAGGGCATAAGCCAGGTGGGGCTTCTCCACCGGCCTCCAACGGGTGGGCAGGCCCTGGACAGGCGACAGGGGGCTGGAATTACAAAGGAATTAGCACCGACAACAGGAAGCGGGTCCTTCCTTCCTCAGGCAGCCTCAGGCTGGCCGGGGAGGGGGTGGGGGCCAGGCGCGGGCGAGACAGTGCAAGCCTTTGTCCTCAGGCAGGTACGGCTGTGGGCATGCAGCCGAGGGGCAGGTGGCAGGCAGGGGATGGCAGCCCCCTCTGCTTTGGCAAGAGGCAGAATCCAGACACTGGCGGGAGAGCGCCTGCCTGCCGGGCGTTCCTGGCTCCTGCTGCAGGCACCACAGAGACCCCAGGCCCCGGGTCCCCGGGGGGCGGCAGAGCAAAGTCAGGGCAGCCCCTGCGTTCGGCAGGAGAAAACGCGCGTGTCCGGGGCCCTCTCCCGTCCTTCCACCACAGAGCTCCGAGGCAGGGCCCCGGGAGGGAGCGTGAACGCTGGCACGGAGACGGCGAAGGTCCTGGGGGTGCGTGGGGTACTCTGGAGGGGCAGGACAGGGGTCAGTCACTGAAGCACAGGCAGGAGACCGCAGTTCCGAGGCGGCAGCCACTACACGAAGGCCTCCTGGTTGGACGAGCCGTTGATTTTGAGGAAGAGTTTGTCATCCTCCTGCCTCTGCTGCAGCTGCCGCTCCAGCTGGCGCCGGTAGCAGATCAGGTAGAGCGGGAGGCAGAAGCCCAGCAGGCTGAGAAGGAGCAGCCCCACGTTCACCTGGGGAGGCAGGGAGGCCGCGCATCACAGGGCGTGGTGGTGCGCCGAGGCTGCAGACCCGCCCTCCACTCGGGTTTGGGAAAGGGGAGAAGGTCACGGGGTGGAAGGGGGAACGAAACAGGAAGGCCCACGAGGTCCCATATGCCAGCGTCCCGGTTCCCAACTCTTCACAGGCCATGTGGCCACCCTCAGGGCCTGGGCCCCCAGGAAACACGGGCTGATCTGAACCTCTGGGCTTGGAACAAGTTCCTGGTACCTGGTGAGGAAATCTGGCCCTCGGAGGTGGGGCGGGGACAGGAACTGTGTTCTTTTTTTTTTTTTTTTTTTTTTTTTGAGACGAAGTCTCGCGCTGTCGTCATTCAGGCTGGAGTGCAGTGGCGCAATCTCAGCTCACTGCAATCTCCGCCTCCCGGGTTCAAGTGATTCTCCTGTCTCAGCCTCCCGAGTATCTGGGATTACAGGCACCTGCCACCACACCTGGCTAATTTTTGTATTTTTAGTAGAGACCTGGTTTCACCATGTTGGCCAGGCTGGTCTTGAACTCCTGACCTCAAGTGATGCTCCCGCCTCGGCCTCTCAAAGTGCTGGGATTACAGGTGTGAGCCACCGCGCCCGGCCCAGGAACTCTGTTCTATTTCTCCCCAAATCAGGTCCAGAGAGGACATGTTCCTTTTCCTGCCTAGCCACCATTCACAAAGGGACTCTTAACCAATCCTAACCAACGCTCCCACATGTCCTCGGGGCCCTGAAGCCCCCGAGGGGGACCTTGCAGCTCGCAGTTAGCAGAAGGGGGCAGGCGCCCATGACCCACCATCCCCCGACCCCTCTTACCCACAGAGGGTCTCCCTGGAGAGGACCCATCATGGCCAGAAACAGCGGCTGCTGCAGAAGGGCGAAGAGCGCGCTGATCAGAGACTGCAGTCCCGTGAGGCTGCCGAACTGGGTGGAGGGGTACCTGCAGGGCAAGCGACAGCTCACAGCCATCCTGCCTCCTGGGCTTTGCTTGGCCCCAGGTGTCTGGTGACCCCGGGCTGCACCGTTGGTGCCAGAGAAGGGTGGGGTGCCAGCCCTCGGATTCCTTCCTGCTGGGCAGTTCTGTTTTTTTTTTTTTTTTTTTAAGATGGAGTCTTGCACTGTCGCCTGGGCTGGAGTGCAATGACACGATCTCGGCTCACTGCAACCTCCGCCTCCCCAGTCCAAACAATTCTCCTGCCTCAGCCTCCCTAGTAGCTGGGATTACAGGCGCCCGCCACCACATCTGGCTAATTTTTTGTATTTTTAGTAGAGACGGGGTTTCACTACGTTGGCCAGGCTGGTCTCAAACTCCTGACCTTGTGATCTGCCTGCCTCGGCCTCCCAAAGTTCTGGGATTACAGGCGTGAGCCACCGCGCCCGGCCCTGCTGGGTGGTTCTGCAAAGTGTTTCTCTTTGGACCAGCTCCAGGCCCCAGACTCTGGGGAGGGCCCACCCCACTCAGCTGTGCCCAGGGCCTGTGGGTGTCTGGCTGAGCCGAGTGGAAAGCGTGGTGCCAGCGGGGACCTGCGGTTTGGGAAACAGGCCCAGAGAGGAGTGTGGAGGCTGGGCTTGGCTCTGCAGTGCCCTCGTCCAGAGAAGCATTGAGTAATCGCGGAAACTCAGCACCACAGATCCCGCCCCCCTCCCTCAGACCCTGCCAGGACAGCCACAGCTTCCTCCAGGCCTGGGGAGGGGCAGGCGGAGGGCAAGCGGAGCTGGGATTACCCCAGGGGCTGTTGCGGGAATTGGGAGAGAGTTCCGGGCTAAATCTTAGCACATGTCAGGCTCTGCTGGCCCAGAGGTGGGAAAGGAATCCCAGCAACACATGAGCTGGTCCCACATCAGAGACTGTGGATGATGATGTTTGAGTTTCAGTTTTTGGGTCAAGGCCTGAGCCAGAGAAGAAGGAACCACTGTGGTTCCTTTTATGTTTCTGGGGCTTCTTGGAAAAAGATACAGGTTTCATTTTAGCCAGGGCTGGAGAAAGCTATGGCCAGAGCTGGGCGCACTGAGGCTCTGGATGGGCCCGTCTGGTGTATTCTGGACTCAGTCACCCATGTTGCTGCCCGTGATGAGGGCAACTGGAACTTCCGCATTTAGCTTCAGGCAGCCAGAACCTACCCATCCTTCCCAGTGAGCAGCCAGGGCCAGCCCCAGGACTCGGCTGTAGTGGCCCCTGAGGCCATAATGAGCTGCACAGGTGCCTGACCCTGGCTGGGGGAACTGACTTCGTGTTGAATGCCAAGGCTTGTGAGCACCCAACTGTCTGCCCACTGACCTGCTTCCCACGAGGTATGGCCTTTCCCTGAAACACCCAGCAGAAACCCTGGTACCTGTCCCCTGAAGCAGGAAGATGAGCCCTTCTGGGACAGGCTGACCCTGCCTCAGAGTCTCAGTCCCACCAGCAACCTCCCCCCGGCCATTCCCACACCCTCGCCCACCAGGCCACCTGCGGCTTCCAGGACTTACACGGCAGCGTACAGGCCCCCGACAGCGGAGTGGATGAATCCTCGCACGATTGTGTGCAGGATGAAGGAGAGGATCTGGGGGAGGAAAAGGCGACTGTGGGCATAAGGCCTTAAGGGACCGTCCCCTCAGCCCCCGCCCTCCAATTCCTGGGGGCCCTCACCCCAGGGGCAGTGTCAGCCTGGAGTTGGATCAACCCCATCCTCCGGAGCCAATTGTGAATTTTCAGAAATTTTGCAAGCCAGTCGTTAACACAGTCATTTTTTGTTTGTTTGTTTGTTTTGTTTTTTGTTTTGTTTGAGAAGAAGTCTTGCTTTGTCGCCCAGGCTGGAGTGCAGTGGCGTGATCTTGGCTCACTGCAAGCTTCGCCTCCTGGATTCAAGCAATTCTCCTGCCTCAGCCTTCGGAGTAGCTAGGATTACAGGCCCACGCCACCATGCCCGGCTAATTTTTGTATTTTTTAAGCAGAGATGGGGTTTCACCATGTTGGCCCGGCTGGTCTCAAACTCATGACGTTGTGATCCACCCGCCTCAGCCTCCCAAAATGATGGGATTACAGGCATGAGCCACTGCGCCCAGCCTAACCGAGTCATTATTAAAAATTAAATTATAGGCTGGGCAAGGTGGCTCACGCCCGTAATCCCAGTGCTTTGGGAGGCCGAGGAGGTGGATCACCTGAGGTCAGGAGTTCGAAACCAGCCTGGCCAACATGGCGAAACCCTGTCTTTACTAAAAATACAAAAAATTAGCTGGGCGTGGTGGTGGGCACCTGTAATCTCAGCTGCTTGGGAAGTTGAGGCAGGAGAATCGCTTGAACCAAGAGGTGGAGGTTGCAGTGAGCTGAGATCACGGCATTGCACTCCAGCCTGGTGACAAAGTGAGACTCTGTCTCAAAAAAAAAAAATAATAATAATAATAATAATTAAATTATAAGCCGAGAATGGTGGCTCACACCTGTAGTCCCAGCACTTTGGGAGGCTGAGGTGGGTGGATCATATGAGGTCAGGAGTTTGAGATCAGCCTGGCCAACACAGTGAAACCCCATCTTTACTAAAAATACAAAAATTAGCCGGGTGTGGTGGCGGGCGCCTGTATTCCCAGCTACTCAGGAGGGTGAGGCAGGAGAATCGCTTGAACCGGGGAGGCGGAGGTTGCGGTGAGCCGAGATAGCACCACTGCACTCCAGCCTGGGTGACAGAGCTAGACTCTGTCTCAAAAAAAAAAAAATTACATAAATTTATGACTAAATAAATAAATTATATTAAAGTAAAGGTAATGAATACTCAAAACTCTGAAAACTCATCACTTCCTGGCCTGGTGCAGTGGCTCACACCTGTAATCCCCACACTCTGGGAGGCCTGGGAGGATCACTTGAGCCCAGGAGTTCCAGACCAGCCTGGGCAACATGTCAAGACCCCATCTCTGCAAAAAAATATAAAAATTAACTGGGCTTGGTGGTACGTGCCCGTAGTCCCAGCTACTCAGGAGGCTGAGGTGGGAGGATCACCTGAGCTCGGGAAGTCAAGGCTGCAGTGAGCCAAGATCCCACCACTGCACTCGAGCCTGGCTGATGGGAGTGAGACCCTGTCTCAAAAAAAAACAAAATGAACGAACAAAACCATGGAAAACCTCATCCCTTCCTAATTATTTTACTTGGTTCACTAGAGCCTGTGCACGCATCAGGCTTTCCTTTTTTTTTTTTTGGAGACAGAGTCTTGCTGTGTAGCCCAGGCTGGAATGCAGTGGCACGGCTCACTGCAAGCTCCGCCTCCTGGATTCAAGCAATTCTCCTGCCTCAGCCTCCCTAGTAGCTGGGATTACAGGTGCATGCCACCAAGCCCGGCTAATTTTTGTATTTTTTGTAGAGACGGGGTTTCACTAGGCTGGTCTCGAACTCCTGACCTCAGGTGATCCACCCGCGTTGGCCTCCCAAAGTGCTGGGATTACAGGCGTGAGCCACCGTGCCCGGCCAGGCTTTTCACATCTACTGTAGAAATACCACGTGTCACTGTGACTCTCCAGTTCCACAGTCAGTGGCAACACATGGGCAGCTGGAAATCAGCCACGGTGAGTGCATGTGCACCGTGGAAGTCGGCAAACACTAGAACCAGGGCCCTGCTGACAGACGTGTATGGGCACAGCACTGAGCAAGAGGTTGCTGACCACGGCCTCGAGCTGCCTTTGCCCACCTCGGACTGTGCTCCAGGGTCTCCCAAGCCTGGTCACCCGGCCCTCCCAGCAGGTGGCTGCCCTCTCACCTCCCTCGTGAAGTGTTTCTTCGCTTTTTGTTTTGTTTTCTTTTTGTGGTTTGTTCTGTTTTGTTTGGTTTTGTTTTGGGACGGTCTCGCTCTACACCCCAGGCTGGAGTGCAGTGGTGTGGTCTCGGCTCACTGCAACCTCTGTCTCCTGGGTTCAAGCGATTGTTCTCCCTCAGCCTCCTGAGTAGCTGGGATTACAGGCATGTGCCACCAGGCCCGGCTAATTTTTTTTTTTTTTTTTTTGAGACAAGGTCTCACTCCGGTTGCCCAGGCTGGAGTGCACTGGTGCAATCTCAGTTCACTGCAGCCTCAACTTCCCGGGGTGCAGTGAGCCGAGATTCTCCCACCTCAGCCTCCTGAGTAGCTGGGACTACAGGTGCACTCCACAACACCTGGCTAATTTTTATTTTTAGTAGAGACAGGGTGTCGCCATATTGCCCAGGCTGGTCCTAGTAAAGTTCTGTCGCTGTCTGTGGGAGGCCCCCTGCCCAGGAAGGCTGCTGCTGGCGGACTCCGCCAACTCCGAGAGGCACTTTTTAAGAGCCATCCTCTTGGCCACCAGGTCCCTGTGGTCGCCTTGTCTTCTGTACACAGCCCTGCCATCCCGCTCAGCAGCCAGGACCTGTTCCCAGGAATGTGGGTGGTGGGGGGGCAGGGGCTGCTCTTGGCAGTGTTGAAAGAGGGCTGTGCCCAGTGCCCACACACACACACACACACGCACGCTGTGCAGGCCTCCCCACCTCAAATGCCTTGTTGCCTTTTTACAACTTTTCTTTCAGTGAGACCTACATAAAACAAAAAGATGACTGTCCCCACTGAGCACTGCCCCTCGACTGGACAAGGCGGTTAGGGCAAAGGTCTGCCAGTCTTGCAGAGAAAGCAGCCCAGGAGGCCAGGGAGGGCCGGAGGGATGCAGCACCCCCTGGGGCCGGCACAAATGTTCCACGGCCCGCTGCGCTCTGCACGCCCAGTGTTGGCACGTACACACAACAGTTCCCACGGTGGGGCACACCTGGGTGTTCAACGTACCTCAAGGCCTCCTGTAAAAAGGGAGGGACTCTTACTTCCCTCCTGGACTTGACCCAAGATGCCATCTGGACTCAGGCTACACCTCTCTGGAAGGAAAAGCCACACTTGCGTCCCTCCACCATTTGTAAATTTAGGGATTGGGCCAAAACCTACTGCTAGACCACTTTCACAGACCAGTGGGTGGAGCCAGGCAGGTGACAAGGGCCACCTTACTCAAAATCTCTGTCAAAAATCAGGTTCCAGAAGCCTCAAAAGTTTGGCAAAGAAATTCAGTTTTTTTTTTTTTTTTTGAGACACAGCCTCACTCTGTCGCCCAGGCTGGAGTGCAGTGGCGCAATCTCGGCTCACTGCAACCTCTGCCACCCGGATTCAAGCAATTCTCCTGCCTCAGCCCTCCTGAGTAGCTGGGATTACAGGCATGTGCCACCACGCCCAGCTAATTTTTGTAATTTTAGTAGAGACGGGGTTTCACCATTTTGGATAGGCTAGTCTCAAACTCCTGACCTCGTGATCCACCTGCCTCAGCCTCCCAAAGTGTTTTGGTTTTTTTTGGTTTTTTTTTCTGAGACAGAGTCTCACTCTGTCATCCAGGCTGGAGTGCAGTGGCGCGATCTCAGTTCACTGCAACCTCCGCCTCCCAGGTTCAAATGATTCTCCTGCCTCAGCCTCCCGAGTAGCTGGGATTACAGGAGTGTGCCACCATGCCCAGCTAACTTTTATATTTTCTGTAGAGACAGGGTTTCACCAAGTCGCCCAGGCTGGTCTCAAACTCCTGAGCTCAAGCAATCCACCTGCCTCCACCTACCAAAGTGTTGAGATTACAGGCATGAGCCACCGGCCTGGAATGAAGCTTTTGAATCCAGATATGAAGCCACCATCAAGGTCTTCCTCCACTCTGTTCAGTGTAGAAACCCCGTGAGACTCTGGTGACAGGGGAGCAGATGCTCCCACCAACACCACAGATTGGCCAGATCTCTTTGGACGTCAGATTCCAGCTGCTTGAGCCGATACAAAACAAGGAACTCTACAGCGACCCCACACACTTCCGGGAAATGGCATGATGGTGGTATCCACGGTTATGCAAGACGCCCCCAAAACCAAGACATGCCTTCCGGGGAGGAGTCCCTTTGCAGAAGACAATCCAGGTGTCCAGCTCACCTGCAGCAGCAAGCACAGAGCCTGGCAGGGAACAGGCCCTCCGCAAATAACAAAGGGCTGGTGGGCTGCTCGGTTGAGTGGAATGAATGAAAGTCATCATCTGAGCTGGGCACGGTGCCTCACACCTGTAAAATCCCAGCACTTTGGGAGGCCAAGGCGGGTGGATCGCCTGAGGTCAGGAGTTCGAGACTAGCCTGGCCAACATGGCAAAACCCCATCTCTACTGAAAATACAAAAATTAGCTGGGCGTGATGGTGCGCACCTGTAATCCCAGCTACTCGGGAGGCTGAGGCAGGAGAATCGCTTGAACCCAGGAGGCTGAGGTTGCAGTGAGCCGAGATCACACCACTGCACTCCAGCCTGAGCAACAGAGTTTGACTCTGTCTCAAAAAAATAAAGAAAGTCATCCGCTTTGTTGATGGCTTCCATGAAACATTACACACTTTTGAGTCTTTACATGTTCCTTCTGACTGCCCCACCTCCCACCTGCCCCTCCCACTCCCCACACCCACCTGGAGAGGCAGGTTGGGAATGAGGCAGGTCACCCCAAAGCCCACGAGCAGCAGGTTGGTGAAGGCGAAGGCCCGCATGGCATTAGTGATCTTCTGGATCTGCCGGTCCCGCTTCTTCTTTTTCTTCTCGCCTCTGTGGAGACACAGAACGTGCAGGGGTGGGAGGGCTCCCCGGAGGAAGCCGGGTGCTCCTGAGAAGTCAGGCCTCAAGCGTCGCAGCAGGTAAACTGACGCAAGACTCAGAAGCCACCCAGGCACGTTTTAGGGACTGTGTCGGGGCTGGACCAGCACTACGGACACTCCCCGGCCCTTCTCAGTGGCAAGCTGAGTGTGACTCTCGGAGGGGGTCTCGGGTACAAGAAGATGGCCATCCATATGCTGCAGTGCTCTGTGAAGGCTGAGCTAAGACGACGGGGAGAGAAGTAGCAGCGTGTGCCTGAGCTGGCACATGGCAAAGCCTCACTTCACCACTGGCTTCAAGTTCACCCAAATCTTGCAGGACGCTGATAAGAAGCCAGATACAAGCCAAATAGGGGAGTGAATGGGTTTCCCCTTGTGGGGACAGGAGAGGGTAAAGGGGAAATGAGCAGGCAGCAGATGGAACTGGAGTGGACACAAATAACCTCTTGGCTGCAGGACCTGACCTAGATAGCACAGCACTGTTTTTTGTTTTGTTTTGTTTTGTTTTTTTGTTCTTTGGGTTTTTTTTTGAGATGGAGTCTCGCTCTGTCACCCGGGCTGGAGTGCAGTGGTGTGATCTCGGCTCATTGCCACCTCTGCCTCCTGGGTTCAAGCGATTCTCCTGCCTCAGCCTCCCGAGTAGCTGGGACTACAGGCACGCGCCACCTTACCCGGCTAATTTTTGCGTTTTTGTAGAGACAGGGTTTCACCATGTTAGCCAGGATGGTCTCGATCTTCTGACCTTGTGATCCACCCGCCTTGGCCTCCCAAAGTGCTGGGATTACAGGTGTGAGCCACCGCGCCCGGCCAAGCACCCTCTGCAATTATCTCTCGTGAATGAACGATTACCGATCCCAGTCTCACACCCACGCAGACACCCTGGATGATCCAAGAACGGACCCCAGGTGCTCACAGATGTGCAGGGAGTCCCAGGCCCACCACTTCCTAACTGTGCGGCCCTAGGCAAACTACTGCAAGTCCCAGCCTCAGCTCCCTCATCTGTAAAATGGGTATAACACTGGTCCCCACTTCGCCAGGGTGCTGGGAGTCTTCACTGAGATACTGTGCATGGAGTCCTCGGTGGAGGGCCTCAGGCAATAAACCGTAGCTTATTATATTAAGGTGTGGAGCCATGGAAAACAGCGTTTGGCTGGGCGTGGTGGCTTATGCCTGTAATCCCAGCACTCTGGGAGGCCGAGGCAAGCGGATCACAAGATCAGGAGATCAAGACCATCTTGTCTAACACTGTGAAACCCCTGTCTCTACTAAAAATATATATTAAAAAAATTAGCCGGGCGTGGTGGCGGGCGCCTGTAGTCCCAGATACTTGGAAGCCTGAGGCAGGAGAATGGTGTGAACCCGGGAGGCGGAGGTTGCAGTGAGCCGAGATAGAGCCACTGCACTCCAGCCTGGGCGACAGAGCGAGACTCCGTCTCAAAAAAAAAAAAGAAAAAGAAAAAAGAAAACAGCGTTTAACTCATCCTCTGATCTTGGAGCCCATCCCTTACATAAAGTAGGACTCCAGTACCTTGTTTAATCTTCACAATCATGAACAACTCTATTAACACATAATATGTTTATAGCAACTCACTACTCAAACTGACCGGAATAAACCTTGCAGGCAGATAACAAAGGGTTGGTGGGCTGCATGATTGAATGCAATGAATGAAAGTCACCATCTGAGCCGGGCGCGGTGCCTCATACCTGTTAATCCCAGTACTTTGGGAGGCTTTAAGATGGTGTAGCCACTGCCAAGGGGTGGAGGGAGGGTGGTCTTAGGAGCAAAATGGTCTGCTAGCCATTGTCTGTACACTTTCACCTGTGTCTCTTTTTCTTCCTTCTTACTCAATGCTTCTTCTTTATTGTTTTTTCTTTTTGAGACAGTCTTGCTCTGTTGCCCAGGCTGGAAGTGCAATGGCGTGATCTCGGCTCACTGCAACCTCCACCTCCCGGGTTCAAGCAATTCTCGCGCCTCAGCCTCCTGAGTAGCTGGGATTACAGGCGCGCGCCGCCACCGCACCTGGCTAATTTTTTGTATTTTTAGTAGAGACCGGGTTTTACCACATTGGCCAGGCTGGTCACTAACTCCTGGGCTCAAGCAATTCACTCACCTCAACCTTCCAAAGTGTTGGTATTATAGGCATGAACCACCCTCCCTGGCCAATTTTTAAATTTTTTGTAGAGACGGGGAGTGGGGGCTGGCCATGTTTCCCAGGCTGGTCTCCAACTCCTGGCCTCAAGTGATCTTCCTACCCCAGCCTTTCAAAGTGCTGGGATTACAGGCATGAGTCACCGCACCTGGCCTCAAACTTTAGCATTTCCATTGCATTCCAAACAATTTCCATAAAGAGGGGAGCAGTTGAAACGCATGCTGAGCTGAATGAGTGAGTCTCTCTAAGGGCTCCGGGAGCAGCTGGAGTGCATTGCTCTCTCCCTCTGTCCCACCCACCCTGTGCCTGACATGCAGCTCTGGGGTCTTTCTGCAGGGGCTGCGGGCTGGGAGCCGGGGCACCGGCCCTGCCTACGCACTGGTTGGCGTCTTTCTCCTCGGGCTCCTCGGAGGCGTCTTCACACTCCTTCAGCCTCCAGTCCATGATGTAGCCAATGACGGGGGCCGTCAGCAGGCACAGCAGCTGGAGCACGCCGAAGATGGAGGTGTAGAGGCCAACTGTGGAGGAAGGCGCTGCGTCATGGGGACGCCTGGCAGACAGCCCTGGAGCAGGGACTGGGCACCAGCTGGGAAGGGGCTGGTCCCCACAGGCTCTTCTGGGGTCTGCCCCAGAACCCCCTGTCACTATGGGTCTTGCGAGGAGCCCGGAGACCTTAACTCTGAAGTTGAGGATGGAGCACGGGGCAGGTCACCTTCTTCTCGGTTCCAAATCCCCTGCTTGTTTCTAAGAAACAGCTAATGAAACCCAGAGTGTCACAATGGCCTTCCCAGAGCTCCAGGAAGTCGCTATAACTTGGGAACTCCTGTGACGGAGGCTAAGTGACGGGCCGTTAGTTTCTGTCTCTAGAAATAGCCCAGAACGGCTGGGCGCG
This sequence comes from Homo sapiens, assembly GCF_000001405.40. Classification (NCBI taxonomy): domain Eukaryota; kingdom Metazoa; phylum Chordata; class Mammalia; order Primates; family Hominidae; genus Homo; species Homo sapiens. The sequence continues at coordinate 16,454 of NT_187611.1, forward strand.
GTGGCTCATGCCTGTAATCCCAGCACTTTGGGAGCCCGAGGTGGGCGGATCACGAGGTCAGGAGTTCGAGACCAGACTGACCAACACAGTGAAACCCCGTCTCTACTAAAAATACAAAAACTAGCTGGGCGTGGTGGCAGGCACCTGTAACCCCAGCTACTCAGGAGGCTACAAGGAGAATCACTTGAACCCGGGAGGTGAAGGTTGCAGTGAGCCAAGATCATGCCTCTGCACTCCACCCTGGGCAACAGAGCAAGACTCCATCTCAAAAAAAAAAGAAATATCCCAGAAAGGCACCGCTCACGGGGCTCTGATGTCAGGGCTTCCATATTCAAAGACTTAAAATGACAGTGGATTTTCCAGGGAAGCAGACGAGGAATGTTGATTGCCCCAGTTTTACCCCCACGGCTCTAGCCAGGAGGCATGTCTGGAGCTTGAGGTGAGGAGCTTCTGGGTTGAACAGAGACTGGCTGGGAGGGGACATCACAGCATTCCCTGACAATCCCCCCCACCCCCCGCTTACCCGTGGCCATCACTGCATCAAGAAAGCAAAAGTGAAAAAGCAGAAAGAAGAGAGGTTAGTGGCAGAAATCTCAGTGCTACAGAGAGATGGGAGAGGAGGCAGGCTCACTCCATGCCCAGCACGCACTGCATTTCCCACACTGCGTTTCCCGCACTGCATTTCCCACTAAGCGTGACTCGGGGCGCTCAGGGGAGGCAGAGCTGCAGCCAGGCCTCTGGAAGTGGACTTGGGACAATGCCCAGCCCGGGCCCCTGCTGACATTCTCCTGTCTGCTGGTGCCGGGTCACAGGCGGACTGGTGAATCAGGCCTGTGACGTTGGCGGGTAGCGTGATGGGGAAGTGGCGGGCATGCGGAAGACCTGGTGCAATCAGGGTCCCTGTCACCACACTGCCTGCGGGAAGCGGCTCTGTCACATCTACCTCCTGCTGTGCTCAGAGAGAGGGAAAGGTCAAAGAACCTGCCCCTGATGCCCAGCCAAGGCATCTGACACCATGGGTCTCCTCCAGATGGCCAGAGCTGGTCTCCCTTCCACTCCAAGAAACGGGGACCATGCCTGGGCCTGCTCCCCTTCCTTGGGCCATGGCCCCCCTGCCACAGAGGCCTGGTGGCCCCTGAGCTGCTGCTCCGAGTGGAATGTCCTGGTCTAGAGGCCCTTGGCTGCTCCAGTGTCTTAAGACCCATATGTGAGTGCTGGCTCTGACCTTGAACAAGCTCCTCCATCACTCCAGGCCTCGTTTTTCAGGTGTATATGATGATAGTATCTATCATAAATGATGACGTAAACAGATGATAGTATCTATTTAACTCCTAGATTGTTATCAAGTCAAGGACAACAATAGGAAAACATGTCACCTGTCAACTCTTACAAAGGGAGGGTAGGACAGGTGGCCCCTGACTAGGGGGTGGGGGTGCAGGGGGCACCCGACCCATCTGGCCAGCCACAGCCTCTGTACCCTGCTCCCATTTTCAGGCCTCAATCCCCAAGCACTGTTGGCCCTGGACTGTTTTCCCCCCTTAATTCTGTTTCTCAATGCCTGCTTCTTCCCAGTAAGTGCCACACCCTGAGGGTGGGTGGGAGAGTGAGGCAGCAGTGCCCACTTTGGCTGGGACTGGGCACTGCTGAGGACAGCATGGGCCACGTCTTCCCCATCTCAAGACTGGCTTTTTGGCTGGGCATCGTGGCTCACGCCTGTAATCTCAGCACTTTGGGAGGCTGAGGCACGTGGATCACTTGAAGTCAGGAGTTGGAGACATGGTGAAACTCCGTCTCTACTAAAAATACAAAAATTAGCTGGGCATGGTGGCAGGTGCCTGTAACCCCAGCTACTTGGGAGGCTGAGGCAGAACAATCGCTTGAACCCGAGAGGCGGAGGTTGCAGTGAGCCGAGCTCATGCCACTGTGCTCCAGCCCGGGTGACAAGAGCGAAAATCCATGTCAAAAAAAAAAGACTGTATTTTTGGCTGGGCATTGTGGCTCATGCCTATAATCTCAGCACTTTGGGAGGCTGAGGTGGGAGAACTGCTTGAGCCCAGGAGTTTGAGACCAGCCTGGGAAAAATAGCAAGACCTTGTCTTTATGGAAAAAAAAAAAAAACAAATTAGCCAGGCATGGTGGCACACACCTGTAGTCCCAGATACTTAGGAGGCCGAGGTGGGAGGATCCCTTGAGCTCAGGAGTCGGAGGCCGTGGTGAGCTATCAGTTGCACCACTGCACTCCAGCCTGGGTGGCAGAGCAAGACCCCAACTCAAAAAAAAAAAAAAAAAAAAAAAGGCGGCCTTTTCCCAGCTGCCAGCACCCTGGCTAGTTAGGGTTTCCCTGAATCCGCAACTCCTGTTTGATGGCGGGTCTCAAACGCTGGGAGGCAGCAGAGTCACCGGTCAGCGGCAAGGCCTGGAGTCTCCATTCGGAACCAGCACCCGGGAGCCTCTGCCGCGGGTGGTCGCGGGGCCGTACGCGGAGGCGATGGCTCTGGTGCTTTGAGCCGTTCCTCAGCAGCACGGCACACCCCCTCCTGCGGAGCCGCAAAGCTCACGAGTGTGCGGAAAGTGACCCGGACCCTGCAGCTGCCTCTCGGCCGGAGCTAGGGCTATGGGTGTTGGGTGTAACGGGTCACAGAAGGAGGAGGGGGAAAACCAGTGCCTCGTCTGCCACAGACCAACCTTCCTGGCCTGGCTTCCTCTACTTCTTGAAATTGACTTTTTGAACATACGAAACAGTTGGAAACATTCCTCCTGGGCAGCAAAAGATTTCTCAGACAGCTTGAGTAAAAGACGCTGACTCAGCAGCAGGGAGATGAGCCTTTCGAGGGCCAGGGACCAGCTCTCTCTGCACACTTTGGGGTTTCCGCCACTCCAGGGCTGAATGTTTATCAGGCTGGGTGTGGAGGTTTACGCCTGTAATCCCAGCACTTTGGGAGGCCAAGAGGGGAGGATCCCTTGAGCCCAGGAGTTCGACACCAACCTGGGCAACACAGCAAGACCCTATCTCTGCAAAGAATTTAAAAATTAGCTGGGTGTGGTGGCGCGCACCTGGGGAGCCCTAAGAGGTCAAGGCTGCAGCGTTCACATCACTGCACTCCAGCCTAAGCAACGCAGAAAGAGACCCTGCCTCAAAAAAACAAGAAAGAAAGAGACATGATAGATTAGGGTTCCCCAAAGTGTGTTCCACAGATATTTTTTTTTCTTTTGAGATGGAGTCGCACTCTGTCGCCCAGGCTGGAGTGCAGTGGCGCAATCTCGGCTCACTGCAACCTCCACCTCCTGGGTTCAAGCAATTCTCTGCTTCAGCCTTCCAAGTAGCAGGGATTACAGGGGCCCACCACCACGCCTGGCTAATTTTTTGTATTTTTAGTAGAGATGGGGGTTTCACAATCTTGGCCAGGCTGGTCTTGAACTCCTGACCTCATGATCCACCTGCCTCAGCCTCCAAAAGGGCTAGGATTACAGGCGTGAGCCACCGTGCCTGGCCTAGACTACCATTTTCACAGTAGAACTGGCTGTTATCTGGTTCCCTTTGCTATCTTTTCCTTTTGATAAAGCTGGATTTCTCATCCCCTAAAAACCTGATAACTGATTCTTCACAAGTCCTAGGGTATCTTCACCTTGATAAAAACAAGGAAACCATCGGAAAAAGTGGCACACCAGGGAGGCTGCCAATAAAAAGGATTTGGAGTGTTTGTCCCGCCTGGGGATGACTAAGGCTGACTCAGCTCAGGCCCCGGGGAAGTCCTGACTTTCTCTGTAGAATCAAAACCTCTAATCAGCTGAAGACCTGCCCTGTTTGGAAAAGTGGACTGTGGGTTATCAGCTGTGTTTGTTGGAGCTGACAAGCCTCAACTGTTCGCAAGCTCCGAGGAAGTCTCTGCCCTGCCCTGTTTCTCGGTGAGGGATGCAGATCCCAGTGTGGGCCAGTTGCCCCAGCGTCTCCAGCCCCGTCCTGACCTCGATGCCCAGGGTGTCCACGCACCCACCGTGCCACTTTCTGGGAGGACTTTGGGCTTGACCTGCTGTCTTTCAGCCATGCTCAGGTGGAGCGTTCTGTTCTGTTTTCATTTACAGACACACACGGCAACCCTCCCCCTCAGGCACTGGAAAACACACACCCCACACCCCACACCCAGGAGGCTATTTTGGTCCTTCCCTCCCTCCTGGACCAGGAAACCCTGATGGGGACACGAAGAAACAGTTGGGGCTGGCAGTGATGCAATAGCTCTGACGGGCAGACAGCTCCTGGGATGCGGCCTTTCCATGGCCCGGCTGGCCCGGCTCAGCTTAACACATTCTGGCCGGTGGCCAGTGGGCTGGGCTCAGGCCGGGGAGTGACAGCGACCGAGGCTGCCCGGGGCACCTACCTGTCTTCTGGTCGCCGCTGACCAGGAACTTGAGGATGTTGTTCATAGCCCCCATGTAGAAGATGAGCCGCAGCTGCGTGACGCACATGGTGACCAGGCTGAGCAGCAGGATGGGGCTGAACACGCTGTGCATGAAGGAGGGGGCCACTGCAGGGAGAGGGTGCGGGGCTCAGGGCCGGGGCACACTGTCCCCACCACCGGGGGGACACGCAGATCCCTCCACGCTGGAGGCCAGGAGGGGGCCCTCGGGACGGGCCTGGTGAGGGTAACGGGGTTGGCGCTGCGGTGGGGTCACCTCTTGGGTGAAATCAGGCAAATCCCTTTCCCTCCCCCAGGCCTTCCTGAGCGCCTCTGCAGAACAGGGCGGGCGGGGCCGCCTCCCCTTTTGGGGTGAGGTGGGAATGGGGTGAGCCGATACCCACAGAGCACTCCCTGCCCGTCGCCCGGCTGCGGTCTCAGGCGGGTACCTGCGGCATCCGGCTGGCACTTCACCTCCAGGTCGACGGTGGACAGGCACAGCTTGTGGCCCTCCTGCAGCGCCACCTGCTCCTTGGCACTCCTCATGGAGCTGCCCACACTCAGGCGCCGGCCCACCGTGGTCACCTGCTTGTAGAACTGCTTCCCTGTGATCTTGTGGTCAAAGCCCAGCCAGCTGAACTTGATCTTCACCCTGGGGCCCCGGGAGAGTGTCTGTGGGTGCTGCCCGGGACCCCGGCTGGGGGGCGGGGGCTGGGGGCAGGCGGGACGGGGGCACCTCTACTTACGAGTAGTCCATGTCCTCCGGCCCCGGGAAGGGCTCAAGGGGCCAGTTAAAGAAGCAGTTGAGGAAAACCAGCCCGGAGCAGCCGGCCCAGACCACGAGGACGACGATGAAGGAGACACCAGCATCATAGATGAGCTGACAGGCACCGCGGGGACGGGGTGGGGGGGGGAGGGGGCAGAGTTAGCCCGGGGAGGCCAGAGCCGCAGCAGGCAGGGGCGTCTGGCCACCCCTGCTGTCCCTGTGCTGAGCCGCGCAAAGAGGCACAGCCCTGCCAGCCTGGGCGTTGGGGCATCAGGCACCCGCCTTCCAGTCCTCCCACCGTGCCTGCCCTGCTGGTCATCTGGGCCTGGCGTGTGATTAGCCCCCCGACTCGGAGGCCTTCCTGACCGCCCCGCCATGACCACGGCACGTCTTGCAGGCTCATAGTGATCGGCCCAGCAGAGGGGACGGTGCTCCTGGTCCGTCGGCTTGTCTGGTATTAGCGGAGCTCCCTGAAGGCGGGAACCGGCCAGCCCCGTCCACTGATGCTTCCCCAGTGCCTCTGAGAGCTCACATGGCAGAGGCCAAAGAAATGCTCAAGGAAGCCAGGCATGGTGGCTCACGCCTGTAATCCCAGCACTTTGGGAGGCCAAAGTGGGCGGATCATGAGGTCAGGAGTTCCAGGCCAGCCTGACCAACATGGTGAAACCCCATCTCTACTAAAAATACAAAAATTAGCCGGGCATGGTGGCGGGCACCTGTAATCCTAGCTCCTTGGGAGGCTGAGGCAGGAGAATCACTTGAACCTGGGAGGTGGAGGTTGCAGTGAGCCGAGATCGTGCTGCTGCACTCCAACCTGGGCGACAGAGCAAGACCCTGTTCCCCCCCAAAAAAAGGAGGAGGAAGAACTTTCGGGATGCTCCCCAGTCCAGGGGCATGAGAATCTCTGCAAGTCCATAGGATGGCTGGCCCCAGAGTCCCAGCTCCCACCACTTCAATGCCCAGGTGGCCAGCCCACACCGTGTCCCCCTCTCCTCGCCAACAGCATTCCCACACACACCACCGAGGAAAGGGGCTTTTACTTAGTGTGAGGGTCAGAGGTGGGAGAAGCCCCTACGGGGCCCTGGCAGACCCACAGGGTCTGGGGAACTTGGGCTGATGGACTGTGAGGTGTTTGCTTCGTCCTGACCCTGTGTGACTTCCACAGGCTCAAAATCCTGCCTAGGAGGGAAACAGCTGAAACACTTGGCCAAGAGCAGTGCTTTGGCTGGCGGGGAGTAACGGTACAATAACAGCAGGCTGGGGGTTGGGGAGCAGGGGAGCAGCGGGAGACCAGGATGACGGAGGAGACGGGGGCAAGACTCACAACTGGAAACAGACTCACCCACCGCCCTTCCCCTGCCCCAGCCCCGAAATGCAAAGGCACCTGCGGCAGATCCTGCAGCCACATGCGTGATTCCCGTCCCCTGAGGCCCCGCGGTTTTCATTTGTCGCCCCTGTGATGCCCAGGTGCATCCTGCCCGGGTGGGGGTGGTGGAGAGGGGCCACCCCGGGTGCCCACAATTGCCTCCCTCTTCAGAGAGGGTGGAAGGAGCCTGGAGCAGGCCTCTGCACAGACACCAGTGCAAAATACACGTGCTCACCTTGATTCCTGGAAAGGTGACTGCCGAGGAGGCGTAGGACCCAATCATCAAGGCAATAAACGTGGACCGAAGGTCGCCGAACATGTTGGGCAGCTGAGAGATAAGAAGCAGAGAAACCTCAGTGGGGAGGATGCACCAGGGAAGGGGAGGAGGAGGGGACAGAGAACTAGGCCCCATGAGGCCCCTTCTTCACCTGCGCCCCTTCCTGTGTGACTCACAGGGGCATTAGTTCAGGGGCAATGACCGCTCACTGAAGGTTTCTCCTTCATGGACTGAGGCTGATGGGGCCAAGGAGGGAGGTAATGCAGAATACAAGCAGTTGTCTGACTTTCCGGCTGGCAACCCTCCCTATCTCTCTGCTCCTGGCAGAGCCCAGGAGCCTTCTTGTCTTTTCAGGGTAACACTGAGATGCCAGAGAACAAAGTTATGAGCCTCAGGCAGCCCTCAAAGGGAGAAAGCCTGTTAAAAATAAGAATCTATTTGGGGATAATAGCATCATTTTATAAATAAAAATATCAGCATTCCAGAAAGACCAGATGTCAGCAAAAACTGCTTTTGGTTTGGAGAGGGTAGGTTTTTGGAAGATGTCAATCAGAATTCTACAGTTCTCTTCGGTCTGAGGATGAAGCTGGCCCAGGATTCCTGCTTCTGAATTTCTTTTCTTTGTTTTGAGATGGGGTTTTGCTCTTGTTCCCCAGGCTGGAGCGCAGTGGTGTGAGCTCGGCTCGTTGCAACCTCCGCCTCCCTGGTTCAAGTGATTCTCCTGCCTCAGCCTCCCAAGTCGCGAGATTAGAGATGCCCGCCACCATGCCTGGCTAATTTTTGTATTTTTAGTAGAGACGGGGTTTCACCATGTTGGCCAGGCTGATCTCAAGTGATCCGCCCGCCTCGGCCTCCCAAAGTGCTGGGACTACAGGCGTGAGCCACCGCGCCCGGCCTCCTGCTTCTGAATTTCTCAGTACAAGCAGGGGATTATCTTCCCACAGGATGTTCGGCCCGAGCAGTTAGCATCCTGGAAGGCCAACGGGAAGCAAGGTCCGGGCTCTCTTCCCAACGAAGCCACTCTCGGCATCTCACATCAGCTCATTCTGGGTACAGGGCAAGAGGGGGCCCACCTGAACAGGACTTCAAGGCTAACTCTTGCTCATTCTACCGAAATCCAGGCCTAGGGCAAACTACATCCTCCCAAAGAGGCACAGGTTCTCTAACCTCAAGAGACATCACACTGTGTGTAGCAAACCTTTCCTGTCCACACCCAGCGTCCCTGGCCTTGGGGGCTGCCCTCTGGATAGCCATGCCAACCTATTTCATTAAATTCAGGCTGCTTATGGGGACTTAATCTATGTCCCCTCCACCCTCCCCACCACTCCCCATTTGTCTTGAATCTTTTTCTTTCTTTCTTTCTTTTTTTTTTTTTTTGAGACGGAGTCTCGCTCTTTCGCCCAGGCTGTACTGCAGTGGCTCTATCTCGGCTCACTGCAAGCTCCGCCTCCCAGGTTCACGCCATTCTCCTGCCTCAGCCTCCCGTGTAGCTGGGACTATAGGCGCCCGCCACCACACCCGGCTAATTTTTTTGTATTTTCAGTAGAGACGGGGTTTCACCACGTTAGCCAGGATGGTCTGGATCTCCTGACCTCGTGATCCGCCCGCCTTGGCCTCCCAAAGTGCTGGGATTACAGGCGTGAGCCACCGCGCCCAACCTTTTTTTCTTGTTTTAAGAGACAGGATCTGCTGGACGCAGTGGCTCACGCCTGCAATCCCAGAGTGCTGCCTTTGACCTCAGAGTTTAAGACCAGCCTGGACAACATGGCGAAACCCTGCCTCTGTATCTTTTTAAAGTTAAAAAAAAGAGAGAGAGACAAGGGGGGCAGATCACCTGAGGTCAGGAATTCGAGATCAGCCTGGCAAACATGGCGAAACCCTGTCTCTACTAAAAATACAAAAATTAGCCGGATGTGGTGGCAGGCGCCTATAATCCCAGCTACTTGGGAGGCTGAGGCAGGAAAATGGCTTGAACCCGGGAGGCGGAGCTTGCAGTGAGCCGACACTGCGCCACTGCACTCCAGCCTGGGTGACAGAGCGAGACTCTGTGTCAAAAAAAAAAAAAGAGAGAGAGAGACAGGGTCTCATTCTGTTGCCCAGGTGGGAGTGCAGTAATGCAATCATAGCTCACTGCAGCCTCCAACTTGGCTCAAGTGATCTTCCCCCCCCAGCTCCCAAGTCACTGGGACAACAGGCCCACGCCACCATGCCCCAGCTAGTGGTTTTTTTTTTGGAGGCAGGGTATCGCTCTGTCACCCAGGCTGGAATGCACTGACATGCAATCTTGGCTCTCTGCAACCTCCACCTCCCAAGTTCAAGCGAGTCTCCTGCCTCAGCGTCCTGTGTGGCTGGGACCACAGGTGTGCACCACCATGCCCGGCTAATTTTTGTATTGTTAGTAGAGATAGGGTTTCACCATGCTGCCAGGCTGGTCTTGAACTCCTGACCTCAAGCGATCCATCTATCTTGGCCTCCCAAAGTGCTGGGATTACAGGCATCAGCCATCACGCCCGGCCTTTAATTATTTTTGTAGAGATGGGGTCTCACTATATTGCCCAGGCTAGACTTGAACTCCTGGCCTCAAGCTCTTCTCCCACCTTGGCCTCCCAAAATAAATAATTTTTGTTTTATCAAACCTGCCTGCCTGCAAGCAAATTAACTGTTACTGAGCGGAGGGAGTTTGAACTTGGCGACATACCTGTCTGCAGTCACTGCTGCCTGTTTTGCCCACTTTTAAAAATGAGTAAGGGATGTCAGCAAAATTTAAAACCTCTGTGCTTCAAAGGATGGCATCAAGAAAGTGAAAAGAGAGCCGGGCGCGGTGGCTCACACCTGTCATCCCCGCACTTTGGGAGGCCGAGGCAGGCAGATCACGAGGTCAGCAGTTCAACACCAGCCTGGCCAACATGGGGAAACCCTATCTCTACTAAAAATACAAAAAATTAGCCGGGCGTGGTGGTGGACGCCTGTAATCCCAGCTACTCGGGAGGCTGAGACAGGAGAATCCCTTGAACCGGGAGATGGAGGTTGCAGTGAGCTGACATTGATCCACTGCACTCTAGCCTGGGCAAGAGTGCGAGACTCCATCTCAAAAAAAAAAGAAAGTGAAAACAGGCTGGGAGTGGTGGCTCGTGCCTGTCATCCCAGCACTTTGGAAGGCTGGGGCAGCGGGATTACTTGAGGGCAGGAGTTCAAGAAAGTGAAAAGAATGCACAGAATGGGAGAAACTTCTTACAAATCACAGATCAAGAGCTTGCATCTAGAATATATAAACATAGTGCCCAACAGTTATTCAAAAAACAAAAAATAGAACATATAAAGAACCCCTACATCTCAATAATAAAAAGATAAATAACCAATTTTTTTTTTTAGATGGAGTCTCGCTCTGTCTCCCAGGCTGGAGTGCAGTGGTGCGATCTCGGCCCACTCCAACCTCTGTCTCCTGGGTTCATGCCATTCTCCCACCTCAGCCTCCCGAGCGGCACCTCCCATTGCAGGTATGTGCCACCACGCCCAGCTATTTTTTGAAATAACCAATTTTTTAAATGGGCAAAGGATCTGAATAGACATTTCTCCAAAGAAGATATACAAATGGCCAATAAGCATATGGAAAGATGCTCAACATCATTAATCATAGTGAAATTCAAATCAAAGCCACAATGAGATACCACTTGATACCCATTAGGACACCAAAAAGTCACAGTGAGGCCAGGCGCGGTGGCTCACGCCTGTCATCCCAGCACTTTGGGAGGCCGAAGCGGGCGGATCACGAGGTCAGGAGTTCCAGACCAGCCTAGGGAACATAGTGAGACCCCGTCTCTACCAAAAATACAAAAACTTAGCGAGGTATGGTGGAACATGCCTGTAATCCCAGCTACTCGGGAGGCTGAGGCAGGAGAATCACTTGAACCCAGGCGGGGGTTGCAGTGAGCCGAGATCGTGCCACTGCACTCCAGCCTGCGCAACAGAGCAAGACTACGTTTTAAAAAAAAGAGGCTGGGCACGGTGGCTCACGCCTGTAATCCCAGCACTTTGGGAGGCCGAGGTGGGCAGATCACAAGATCAGGAGTTCAAGACCAGCCTGGCGAACATGGTGAAACCCCGTCCCTGCTAAAAAAATGCAAAAATTAGCCAGGCATGGTGACGTGCACCTGTAATCCCAGCTACTTGGGAGGCTGAGGCAGGAGAATTGCTTGAACCCGGGTGGTGGAGGTTGCAGTGAGCCAAGATTGTGCCACTGCACTCCAGCCTGGGCGACAGAGCAAGACTCAAAAAAAAAAAAGAAATGAGGCCGGGCGAGGTGGCTCACGCCTGTAATCCCAGCACTTTGGGAGGCCAAGGTGGGCGGATCACCTGAGGTCAGGAGTTCGAGACCAGCCTGGCCAAAATGGTGAAACCCCATCTCTACAAAAATGCAAAAATTAGCTGGGCATAATGGCGGGCACCTGTAATCCCAGCTACTCAGGAGGCTGAGACAGGAGAATCACTTGAACTTGGGAGGCAGAGCTTGCAGTGAGTCAAGATATCGCCACTGCCCTCCACCCTGGGCGACAGAGTGAGACTCCGTCTCAAAAAGAAAAAAAAAAGAAAAAAGAAAAAGAAAAGAAAAGAAATCCCTTCCAACAGAAGACAAAAGAAATGTGATGTGCTCACACGTGCCCAGGCACGCCCAGGTGAGCAATCTTACTCTCTGGGTACCTGCCTCCCAGGTAGGTTGCAGTTCAAAGGACAAGCCTCGGTTCCCAAGCTCACATATTTGGGCTGCTCCATTACTGCACTGTAGCAAAGGCATCTCCGTGGCCATATCTACCCCAGTGAGAATGCAAATATTTGTTCTGCTTATGCGGAAGGAGGGAAGTGTTCCTGCCCGGCATGCCAGCACAGCCGGCGCAAAGAAAGAAAGAAAGAAAGGGGCCAGGCGCGGTGGCTCACGCCTGTAATCCCAACGCTTTGGGAGGCCGAGGCAGGTGGACCATGAGGTCAGGAGCTTGAGACCAGCTTGGCCAACACAGTGAAACCTTGTCTCTACTAGAAATACAAAAATTAGCTGGGCGTGGTGGTGGGTGCCTGTAGTCCCAGCTACTGGGGAAGAGGCTGAGGCAGAATTGCTTGAATCCAGGAGGCAGAGGTTGCAGTGAGCCGAGATCATGCCACTGCACTCCAGCCTGGGTGACAGAACGAGACTCTGTCTCAAAAAAAAAAAAAAGGGAGGCCCAGAGAAGGCTTGGAACCCAACCAGAAGGGCAAATGGAAGCCCAGAGCCTGGCTCCCTTGGTGCAGGGTCAGGTGAGGCTAACATGTAGGTTGCTGCAGTCACCTTTGGGTAAAAAGAGTGTCTCAAACTTTTCAACAGAGCTAGAGAATGTTCCGGAAAAGCAGAGAGCTTGCTAGCTAGGCATTTTCCTTCTACCTTTTTAATCTCAAGCCTGCCTGCCTTAACCCTAACCTAGGCTACAGACCAACAGAGCCACAGGGCCCTGGGGTGACCATGTGGCCCTGCCTGGTCTTCTGGAGTCTTCTCCCCAGCACTAGATCCAGGATGGGGAAGAGCAGAACCTGGGGAAGAGGCCGACTCTCCATCTGTCCATGGATGAGGCCTTGCCCTCAGGCCTGGACAGGGCAGGGGCCTCCCAGCTGCTCCCTTTGATGCCCTGCCTCTTGCCGCCTGGAACATTCTTACCAGCACCAAGAAAATTCTTCCCAACATGTTATTCTGGTCAGCAGGGCCATTCCTTAGGGAGTAGAGTGCCTCAGGGGAACCACACTAGGTAGCCTTCAAACCAACACTGACATCTTGTATTTTTAATTATGATCTTTTCCTTAGAACGGCAATGCCTGGGCTGGGCGCGGTGGCTCACGCCTGTAATCGCAACACTTTGGGAGGCTGAGGTGGGCGGATCACGAGATCGAGACCATCCTGGCCAACATGGTGAAACCCCATCTCTATTAAAAATACCAAAAATTAGCCGGGTGTGGCGGCGTGCACCTGTAGTCCCAGGTACTTGGGAGGCTGAAGCAGGAGGATTGCTTGAACCCAGGGGGCAGAGGTTGCAATGAGCCAAGATCATGCCACTGCACTCCAGCCTGGCGACAGAGTGAGACTCTGTCTCAAAAAAAGAAAAGAAAAGCATATCCATTGCAAAATGTTTGGAGCAAAGTATAAAAAGAATAAGGTAAAAATCACCCTGAGGCCAGACGCAGTGGCTCACATCTATAATCCCAGCACTTTAGGAGGCTGAGGCAGGTGGATCACTTGAGGCCAGCAGTTCAAGACCAGCCTGGCCAACATGGTGAAACCCTGTCTCTACCAAAAATAAAGAAAATTAGCTGGGCGTGGTGGCAGGCACCTGTAGTCCCAGCTACTTGGGAGGCTGAAGCAGCAGAATCGCTTGAACTTGGGAGATAGAGGTTGCAGTGAGCAGAGACTGAGCCACTGCACTCCAGCCTGGGCAACACAGTTAGACTCCGTCTCAAAAAAACAAAAAACTTTTACTAATGACTTTCAACATTTTTCTACAACTTAAAAAATTATTTGGCCAGGCGCGGTGGCTCACGCCTGTAATCCCAGCACTTTGGGAAGCTGAGGCGGGTGGATCATGAGGTCAGGAGATCGAGACCATCCTCGCTAACACAGTGAAACCCCGTCTCTACTAAAAATACAAAAAATTAGCTGGGCGTGGTGGCGGGCGCCTGTAGTCCCAGCTACTCGGGAGGCTGAGACGGGAGAATGGCGTGAACCTGGGAGGCAGAGCTTGCAGTGAGCTGAGATTGCGCCACTGCACTCCAGCCTGGGTGACAGAGCAAGACTCCGTCTCAAAAAAAAAAAAATCATTTATATTTGTCCTTTTTTTCTATGGGGATGTTAATCTTTCTTTTTTTTTTTTACAGTAAGCTATATATTAATTGAATATATATATATATATATTTTTTTTTTTTTTTTGAGACGGAGTCTGGCTCTGTCACCCAGGCTGGAGTGCAGTAGTGCTATCTCGGCTCACTGCAACCTCCACCTCCCGGGTCCAAGCAATTCTCCTGCCTCAGCCTCCCGAGTAGCCAGGGTTACAGGTGCCTGCCACGACGCCTGGCTAATTTTTGTATTTTTAGTAGAGACGGGGTTTAGCCATGTTGGCCAGGCTGGTCTCAAACTCTTGACCTCAAGTGATCCGCCCGCCTCAGCCTCCCAAAATGCTGGGATTACAGGTATGAGCCACCGCGCCCTTCCAATATTTCATTTAACATAATTTCAAAGTAGGTCTGTGCTCTAAGGTGAGCAAAAGAAGAGACATTCTAAATCTCATAAGAGATTTTTTTTTCTTTCCTCTTTTTTTTTTTTTTTTTTTTTGGAGACATGGTCTCGCTCTGTCATCCAGGCTGGAGTGCAATGGTACGATTCTGGCTCACTGCAACCTCTGCCTCCCAGGTTCAAATGATTCTCCTGCCTCAGCCTCCCGAGCAGCTGGGATGGATTATAGCCACCTGCTATGACATCCAGGTAATTTTTGTATTTTTAGTAGAGACAGGGTTTCACCATGTTGGTCAGGCTGGTCTCAAACTCCTGACCTCAAGCGATCTGCCCACCTCAGCCTCTCAAAGTGTTGGGATGACAGGCGTGAACCATTGCGCCCAGACTTTTTTTTTTTTTTCCACACTGTTCCTCTGAGTGAGGAATCAGGTTTCAGGACCCTCAATGTTGACAACTAACATTTTACCCTTGAGATTTTACCTAGAGATACCGAAAGAAAAGATAACATCTGAATACAAGAATCGCGTTGCATATTTGCTGCCTCCATAGGGTTGTTGTGGTAGCGACTGATTTTCCACCCCTCCCAGTTTGGTGGTGTTTGTTTGTTTGTTTGTTTGTTTGTTTTAAGTAAAATGTCAGAAATGCAAAAATGCTGCATTTATTTCCCTTAAGACATTGAAAATAGTGGAAGTTTGCAGATTTTTAATTCTTCGTAGGTCTGAGCTGGCACTAGACTGCTACCAAAGGGGTCTGTTCCACACGCTAATTTCAGGCTTGCGGACCATCAGCAAACTGCAATGAAACCTGTGGGCATGAATCTTCCAGAGTGGTAGAATCTCATTCCCATATGCCCGCCAAGTTTCCAGGTGTAGCTGGGAAAACCCAAATGTTCCCTGGATCCCGAGATGGCTAATAAGCACTCAGGCCTGCTACACCACCGAACAGAGCCCCACAGCCAGAGAGGCACACGGCCTGCTTCACACAGCCGACAACCCCGCTGGAAACAACCAGTGCTGGGAGCCAAGGCCAAACTGATGCAAAGGCGCTACTGAGCCAGAGCCCTTCTGCACCGAGACTACCCCAGGCATGCACCGCCCTCCCAAAGGTCCAAAACGATGCAAAGGCGCTACTGAGCCAGAGTCGTGCACTGAGACTACCCCAGGCATGCACCGCCCTCCCGAAGGTCCAAACCAATGCAAAGGCGCTACTGAGCCAGAGTCCTGCATTGAGACTACCCCAGACATGTACTGCCCTCCCGAAGGTCCAAACCAATGCAAAGGTGCTATTGAGCCAGAGTCCTGCACTGAGACTACCCCAGGCGTGTACCACCCTCCGGAAGGTCCAAACCGATGCAAAGCCACTATTGAGCCAGAGTCCTTCTGCACCGCCCTCCCGAAGGTCCAAACTGATGCAAAGGTGCTACTGAGCCAGAGTCCTTCTGCACCGAGACTACCCCAGGCATGCACTGCCTTCCCGAAGGTCCCAACCAATGCAAAGGCACTATTGAGCCAGAGTCCTGCACTGAGACTACCCCAGACGTGTACCGCCCTCCCGAAGGTCCAAACCAATGCAAAGGCGCTATTGAGCCAGAGTCCTGCACTGTGACTACCCCAGGTGTGCGCCGCCCTCCTGAAGGTGCGTGTGGGTCGACAAGGGTGCACAAGCGGCAGGGGGCTGCATAGCAAGGTCTCCTTCAGCTTTGTTTTAATTATTTTTATAGAGACAGGGTCTCACTCTATTGCCCAGGCTGGTCTTGAACTCCTGGATTCCAGCGATCCTTCCACCTTGGCTTCCCAAACTGCAATGATTACAGGCATGAGCCACTGCACCCGGCCAATCTTTGTATATTGATTTTGTGAAGGCTCTTTATGTATTAAAGACATTCATTCACAGGCCGGGCACGGTGGCTCACACCTGTAATCCCAGCACTTTCAGAGGCCGAGGCAAGCGGATCACCTGAGGTCAGGGGTTTGAGACCAGCCTGGCCAACATAGTGAAACCTCGTCTTTACTAAAAATACAAAAATTAGCCGGACATGGTGGCAGGCACCTGTAATCCTAGCTACTTGGGAAGCTGAGGCAGAAAAATCGCTTGAACCCCAGAGGCAGAGGTTGCAATGAGCCGAGATTGTGCCACTGCACTCCAGCCTGGGCGACAGAGCGAGACTCTTGTCTCAAAAATTAATAAAAATAAAATAAAATGAAGACATTCACAGTTCTATATACTATGAATAAATTTTCCTAGTTTGTCATTTAACTTCTTAATTCATGGTGTTTTGTTTTTTCAGTTTTTTTTTTTTTTTTTGAGATGGAGTTTCGCTCTTATTGCCCAGGCTGGAGTGCAATGGTGCAATCTCGGCTCACCGCAACCTCCACCTCCCGGGTTCATGCGATTCTCCTGCCTCAGCCTCCCAAGTAGCTGGGATTACAGGCACCCGCCACCACACCCGGCTAATTTTTGTATTTTTAGTAGAGACAGGGTTTCACCATGTTGGCCAGGCTGGTCTCGAACTCCTGACCTCAGGTGATCCACCCGCCTCAGCCTCCCAAAGTGCTGGGATTACAGGCGTGAGCCACTGCGCCCGGCCGAGGGTTTTAAAGATCATAAATAGGGTAGGTATTAACAATAGTTACTATTATGATATGTGTTATGACTTCATAACAGGGAAAATCTTCTGGTCAAGCTGCTCCTGGGCATAGCCAACGAGGGAAGTGTCCTCTGGCAGGAACCACAGCTCTGGGAGGAAGAAAAGGAAGCCGACTACAGGATAAAACACAAATTAGTATTCCCCTTTAAATAAATAATTAGTGTCCACAGAGATGGCCTTTCTTCTCCTGTCCTTGTTATTCTGTTGTGACCACACATTGACTGCTGTCAGGATGTTTATGCTTTGGGTTTCACTGGTCAAGGTCATCCTTCATGTTCTCTTCAGAGAGGTTTCATTTGACACAAATGCTAGGTACTCCCTAAAAGCTGAAACACACTTTTGACCACCTATTTAAAAACTTTTATTGGTCAAAAAACACCATGAGGCCGGGCGCGGTGGCTCACACCTGTAATCCCAGCACTTTGGGAGGCCGAGGCAGGGGATCACCTGAGGTCAGGAGTTCGAGACCAGCCTGGCCAATACGGTGAAACCCCATCTCTACTAAAAATACAAAAAATTAGCCAGGCGTGGTGGCGTGCACCTGTAATCCCAGCTACTCGGCAGGCTGAGGCAGGAGAATCGCTTGAACCCAGGAGGCAGAGGTGGCAGTGAGTTGAGATCGCGCCATTGCACTCCAGTCTGGGCAACAAGAGTGAAACTCTGCCTCAAAAAACAAAACAAAACAAAACAAAACAAAAACTTAAAGATTAGAAAAGTCAAGGGACTCCCCCAAGCTAGTAATGGTCAGATTGGGGATTCAAGCCAGGCCAAGCCTCTGTGTGTAGGCCCCAGGCCACGCTGCCTCTCTGGAGTCTCCTGTGGCTCCGGCCAATACACACTTCAGTTTGGATCCCACGGCTTTTACATGTGCCTTATTAAGATCCAATCTGCGCCCTTCAACTAGAGGTTTATTTTTCATTCATTTACTTATTTATTTTTTGAGACAGAGCCTCACTCTGTCGCCAAGGCTACAGTGCAGCAGCACAATCTCAGCTCACTTCAAGCTCCACCTCCCTGGTTCAAGCGATTCTCCTGCCTCAGCCTCCCGAGTAGCTGGGATTACAGGCATGTGCCACTACGCCACGATGCCCAGCTAATTTTTTTTTTGTATTTTGAGTAGAGATGGAGTTTCGCCATGTTGGCCAGGCTGGTCTCGAACTCCTGACTTCAGGTGATCCATCCGCCTCGGCCTCCCAAAGTGCTGGGATGACAGGCGTGAGCCACCGCGCCCGGTCATTTTTTTAAATTTGTTTTTGGAGATGAGGTCATGCTGTATTGCCCAGGCTGGAGCGCAGTGGCTATTCACAGGCATGATCCCTCTACTGATCAGCAGGACACTTTTGACCTGCTCTGTTTCTGACCTGGGCCGGTTCAGCCCTCCTTAGGCAACCTGGGGGTCCCTCACCCCCCGGAGGTCACCACACTGATGCTGAACTTAGTGTAGACATCTCATCAACACAGCACGCTATTGTGCAGAACTCCTGGGCTCAACTCATCTGCCCACCTCAGCCTCCTGAGCAGCTGAGACTACAGGGGGATACCACAATGCCCAGTCCCCAACTAGAGATGGCTTACATTCCTTCTGAAGCTCCTTTTAGACCCATCTGCCCCCTGCCCTCACCTCCTGCTGTTGCCTTCGGCTGACCTCCCCATGGTCCAGCGCCACAGCATCGGATGGGCTTGCATTTGCCTGTGGACTCCCGTAGGTCATCCTGACATCTGGGTCACTCCCCACATTCCCCCTCTCGCTCACTCCGTCCCCAGCTTCCCTGCCTCCACCGGTCTCAGCTGCGCATAATGGCTGTTCGAAGCCGCGGTGCCGGAGTGAGGGCTGAGCGCTGAGCAGAGCGCCCTAGCGCGGGCCTCGAGGGCTGGCGGAGGGGAAGGACCCCAGGAGGGGAAGGACCAGCTTTGCTGCCAAGCAGGAAGCCGGAGCTGTTTCCTGACTCACCACCACACTCACAGGTGGGAGTGCAAGCCCCTCTTCCCGCCCTCAGGTGCTTCCCACAGCCCCCTCGCCGCCTCTGCCTCCGTGCGGGTCAACCTGTCCTGCCAGCCCGGGCTGTTCACTCACTGCCTCCACGCAGCCTCAGTCACACAGGGAAGCCCGTGACTCTCTCTCTTTCAGCCCCCTGGCTGCAGCATAAACAGGCCGGACTGTGTGACCTTCCCAGAGGGGAAAACAGCAGCTGCAGGCGGCCCCTCCCCTGGCATTCTGGCCATAGAGCATGACCACCGGACAGGAGTGCCTGCAGGGCCAAGGCCCTGGGACAGTGCGGGCGCGGGAGCTTCTCTAAGATGCCGGACGTACGTGCCTTTTGGCCCAGGGCAGGCCATGGCATTGCTGGCAGGCAGAAACAAGGGGCAACCGTGGCACCCCCGGCCCTGACTTTCCACATCCACGGACTCCCGAGTCCTCCCTGGCCTGCAGGAGGCTGGGGAGCTGGGTGGTGGGTGGGGGCTGCGGAGCTGGGAGGTGGGTGGGGGCTGGGGAGCTGGGTGGTGGGTGGGGGCTGGCATTCTGGCCCTCGGGTCCCCTCCAGAGGGAGCCTTGTCCCCAAGTGGCTGGAGTACACACCCAGAGTTCTGTACAACCTGCACAGGCCGGGATCCCGGAACCAGACTGCACAGGTAGACTCTGCCAGGCTGGGCTGTTTCCTACCCACAACAACCGGGCACCTCCAAGCACATGCTGCCCGGGACAAGGTCCTTGTGGTCACCTTTCTGCTTCAGTGCTGAAGGGAGGGGAAGGGTGTGCTCCCCTCCCCCGGCCACCTCCTGTGCCTTCCCGGCCGGGTCCAGTCCTGCCAATACCGCTGCCCTTTCCGTCTGAACGTGGTCACATACTGCAGCAAATTCATGAGGCAGAACCCTCAGATGGCAAATTCTCCCCAAACCAATGGCAAGTAGCTGACTGCCTGAGCTTCCCCAAGGTACAGGACAGAAAGAGAGGAAGGTGGGGAGGCACAGCAGGCACTGGGCACTGGCAAGTCCCGCTCACCAGGCACCTAGACCCTCCAGAGCTGGCCGGGGGCCACCGCGGGACCCTCTCCTGGACCCTCCAGAGCTGGCCGGGGGCCACCGTGGGACCCTCTCCTGGCTGCAGACGCGGGGTCTACTGAGCCACGGCACTAAACTCCTGTCCCCTCTCTGGGGGCATCTGCCATCCTGCCCTCCTCTCCAGGATCTGAAGAGGGATGTTTATCCTCTTCACTTCCCTCAGATCCCACCTCCCATGAAATCATGCCTTCCTCAGGTTTAAAGTCAGACTTGAAGGAATCAAAAGGGAAAATCCACAGAGAAATGTCTCATCGGGGAGCCTGGCAACATTTTGAAACCCGCTTTTCTGTGTGGCTTCTGCTGAGAAATCCCCATCCCACCCACGGGGACAGGGGTCAGAGTAATGGAGTGGAAATGGCAGGTTCACAATTTTGGCTACAGCTGCTCCCATCTCTAAGCAACCCAGGCTCCGGGTTGGAGGGTGGCGACCCCAAGATGCGGCCTCAGCCGCCGGCCGTGTTTGTGCTCCAGCCGATGAAGCGAGTGCAAAGGGCTGTACAAACGCGAGGCACTGAACAAACACTGAGCGTGCCGTCCAGATGTCCCGGGGGAGGCTGAGGATCCACACCGTGGGGAGTGCTCTGCCCCCATGGAGTGACCTGGCGTCCGCCCTCCACGGATGGCACGCGATGGCCCAGGCCCTGTGCTGCAGGGCCCTGGGAGAGCCAGCACTGGCTACTGGGCAGCCTACCTGACGCGACAGCCACCCTTGCCCCTCGGAGCCTCCACTTGGGAGGGAAATACCACCATGGGTGCCGACCTCTTGGGCTCTGGAAGGATGGCTCATGGCCATCTCCTTCTGGACTACAAGGAAAAGGCGTGTGCCCGCTTGGAGCCCCCTCTCCTACCAGTGGGGGTAACAGCTCGCAGCCCCTGGTCATCTGTATTTAGACCACAGCCCATGCAGCACAAAGGCCCCGGGACCCAGGAAGTCCCCGAATTAAGGCTTCCACAGCGCCGTCCCCTAGAGTCCTGGGTTATCACAGAGCTATTATCCACAGCCCCAACATGGTTGTTGAAGATTGGAGTTAGAAATTCCTAAAGGCGACCCTGGAGACTCCTTTGTCCCCCAAATTAGAACACGGGTGGGAGACACAAACAGAAAGTGCCATTGTGCCCTGAGCTTGGCGTCTCTGGGAGCTGATCCCGACAGTTCTGCTTTCTGAAGTCCTGGGTTGTATCAGAATGAGATTCGGCTCTGCTCAGCAGAAGCCCCAGTCAGCCCAAGAGTGTTGCTTAACTGCTTCAGCCCTGTCCTCACTGACCTCATTTCCCTTTTGGGGTCTGTTCTCAAGGAGCAGGCACTGGAGCCCTCATCAGAGGCCTCAGGGGGCAGGGGAATGCCCATGGAACTCCCTCCACCCTGGGGGGAGGCAGAAAGAGATGACTTAGAAGGAGAGCTGGCCCATGCAACCAGAGGGTGTGGGTGTGAATGGTGGGTGTCAGCACATGCCCTCAGACGAGGAACAGTGACGTAGCAGCTTCCTGGGGCCTCTGGACCAAGGGTTGGCAAACTTTTTCCATAAAGGGCCAGACAATAGACTTTTTTTTTTTTGAGTCAGAGTCTCGCTCTGTCACCCATGCTGGAGTGCAGTGGCACAATCTCAGCTCACTGCAACCTCTGCCTCCCGGGTTCAAGCAATTCTCCTGCCTCAGCCTCCTGAGTCGTGGGGACTACAGGCGCCCACCACCACATCTGGCTAATTTTTGCATTTTTAGTAGAGACGGGGTTTCACCATGTTGGCCAGCCTGCTCTCAAACTCATGAGCTCAGGTGATCCACCCGCCTCAGCCTCCCAAAGTGCTGGGGTTACAGGCGTGAGCTAGTGTGCCTGGCTAAGACAGTAGACCTTTTGGGCTTTACAAGCCATATGGCCTCTGTCACGACTGCGTTGACTCTGATGAGATACCACAAAAGCAGCCACAGACAGGAGCAAACAGGCACAGCTCTACCCCATGAAGTTTTGTTTACAAAAACAGGCAGTGGTCTGGATTTGGCCTGGCAATGGCGGTTTGCTGACTCCTGCTCTAGATCAAAAAATGAAAACCTTGAAGAACAAACCAACAGCCTCCCTTAGACAGACCTCTGGTAGCCAAACGCTTCAAATGGTGATCAGGTGACTCTCTTGCCTGGTCACTCTCTAGCCTGTGTAGCTTTTTGCCTCCAGTGGGAGAGCAAAGAGTGAATAGAAACGCTCCTGCCACAGTGGTTTGTGTGTTTTGTTTTTTTTTTTAAGACGGAGTCTCACTCTGCCACCCAGGCTGGAGTGCAGTGGTGCGATCTCAGCTCACTGCAACCTCCGCCTCCCGGGTTCAAGCAATTCTCCCACCTCAGCCTCCCGAGTAGCTGGAATTACAGGAACATGCCACCATCCCAGGCTAATTTTTGCATGTTTAGTACAGATTGGGTTTCATCATGTTGGCCAGGCTGGTCTTGAACTCCTGGCCTCAGGTGATCCACCCACCTTGGCCTCCCAAAGTGCTGGGATTACAGGTGTGAGCCACCGCACCCGGCCACCGCAGTGGTTTTTAGCCTTCACACAGACCTGCCAGAGGCCAGTGAAAGTAATGGACCCTCCCCTCCAGAAAGACACAGCTGAGCAGCACCTACACACGCTTTGTTGGCATGGAATTTCAAGGGTGTGCACGGCTCTCCTGAAGCTTACTCATGGACCATGTAGAGACCTGAAAACCCCAGGGTAAGATCTCCTGCTCACTCGGAAAGAACACTAGTGTCTTTGTATTTGAAAGAGCTCTTACGAGTCACTAAATACTAATAATAATAAAATCAAGAGCACTGTAGAAAAATAGACAAATGACACAAAGAAGCAATTCACAGAAGAAATGCAATTTACCAATAAAGAGGAGAAAAAATGCTCTGTCTCACTAATAATGAAATAAATTTTAAAAATGGCATGTCGTTTTTCATAGGATCAGAGTGGCTATGTTTTAAAGAGGAATGACATGGCACTGGAAGGGACATGGAGGAAAAGACACTCGTGTACGTGCTGGTGGGCCTGTGGTGGCAGGCAGGCTTTTTTTTGAGACAGAATTTCACTCGTCGCCCAGGCCGGAGTGCAGTGGCGCAATCTCGACTCGCTGCAACCTCTGCCTCCCGGGTTCAAGCGATTCTCCTGCCTCAGCCTCCCAAGTAGCTGGGATTACAGGCGCCCTCCACCAAGCCCAGCTAATTTTTGTATTTTTAGTAGAGACGGGGTTTCACCATACTGGTCAGGCTGGTCTCGAACTCCTGACCTCAGGTGATCTGCCCGCCTCAGCCTCCCAAAGTGCTGGGATTACAGGCGTGAGCCACTGCGCCCGGCCAGATAACATTTTTAGAAGACTATTTAACAGTACATATTAAATTTTAAAACATGCTAATCCTGTGGCCCAGGGCTGCCAGGAACTTATTTTACAGAAATACATGTACAGGGATGCTCACTTCAGCAGCATTCATAAATTGGAAAAATTGGGAACCAAGCCAAAAGTCCATTAGTTGGAAACAGGTTGAATAAATGATGGTCCATCTATATTAAAGAATAATATACAGAACTGCTTAATAATAAGGCAGATCTCTAAGTACTGACAGGAAAGGATGTAAAAGATACATTAAGGGAAAAGGCAAGTTATCACAGTTCTTTTTTTTTTAAGAAAAAAAAAAAGAATAACACTGGTACATGCAGATCTTTTAAATACTGAAGAAATATATTCCAAACTGATGAAGACAGGCTGATAGAATTTTTTTTTTTTAAACGGAGTTTCGCTCTTGTTGCCCAGGCTGGAATGCAATGCCGCGGTCTCGGCTCACTGCAACCTCCGCCACCCAGGTTCAAGCGATTCTCCTGCCTCAGTCTCCCAAGTAGCTGGGATTACAGGCGTGTGCCACCATGCCCGAGTAATATTTTTGTATTTTTAGTAGAGATGGGGTTTCATTTCACCATGTTGGCCAGGCTGGTCTCGAACTCCTGACCTCAGGTGATGGGAACCTTCTCAGCCTCCCAAAGTGCTGGGATTACAGGTGTGAGCCACTGCGCCTGGCAGGCTCATAGAAGTTTAGTCTACAATTCATATTTCTGAAATGTTAAATTTTTACTTTTATTTTTGGG
The DNA here is from genome assembly GCF_000001405.40 of Homo sapiens. Classification (NCBI taxonomy): domain Eukaryota; kingdom Metazoa; phylum Chordata; class Mammalia; order Primates; family Hominidae; genus Homo; species Homo sapiens. The sequence continues at coordinate 40,312 of NT_187611.1, forward strand.
ACAAGGTCTCGCTCTGTCACACAGGCTGGAATATAGTGGTGTCATTGTGGCATACTGTGGCCTGGAACTTCTGGGCTCAAGCCTTCCTCCCACCTCAGCCTCCCGAGGAGCTGGGACTACAAGCAACTGCCACCATGCCCTGGCTAATTAAAAAAAAAAAAAAATTGGAGAGACAAGGTGTCTCGCTATGTTGCCCAGGCTGGTCTCAACCCTGGCCTCAAATGATCCTCCCACCTTAGCCTCCCAAAGTGCTGGGATTACAGGTGTGAGCAACTGCTCCCAACCTGAATTTTTAAAATAAAATCATTTTTGGGCCAGGTATGGTGGCTCACACCTGGAATCCCAGCACTTTGGGAGGTCAAGGTGGGAGGATCTGTTGAGCCCAGGAGTTTGAGACCAGCCTGGTCAACATAGTAAGACCCCATCTGTAAAAAATGAAAATAAAAAATGTAATGAAAAAAATTTTGTTTTATAATTATAAAACATAAAAAAAGACAAAGAATTCTTACTGGCCTATTAGCTCCAACCGCAGGGTCCCTTTTAAAGTCTTTCTTTTTTTCCTTTTTTTTTTTTTGAGGGGGAGTCTTGATCTTGTCACCCAGGCTGGAGTTCAGTGGCGCGATCTCGGCTCACTGCAAACTCCGCCTCCCGGCCTCAAGCGATTCTCCTGCCTCAGCCTCCCAAGTAGCTGGGATTCCAGGGACCCACCACTGTGCCCAGCTAATTTTTGTATATTTTAGTAGAGACGGGGTTTCACTATCTTGGGCCAGGCTGGTCTCGAACTCCTGACCTCATGATCCACCACCCCCATCGGCCTCCCGGAGTGCTGGGATTACAGGTGTGAGCCACCGCACCCGGCCTAAAGTCTTTCTTAACAGGGATTCTTGGTCGTTTTTCAGACAAAACACCTCTCGGCATTTCGGGGTGTGAGGTCCTCAAGCTCAAGGACCATCTCGTTCCTTTATCCCTGAAATTCAGGCCTGCCGTGACAGAGGCGTCGCGTGACTAAAATAATGGAGGTGAGGCCAGGTTTTTAGTTTTCATGCTGATGAAAGAGCTGCTGGTTTTCGGCCGAGCGCCGTGGCTCACGCCTGTCATCCCAGCACTTTGGGAGGCTGAGGCGGGCAGATTGCCTGAGATCAGGGGTATGAGACCAGCCTGGCCAACATGGTGAAACCCCGTCTCTACTAAAAATACAAAAATTAGCGAGGCGTGATGGTGCACGCCTATAGTCCCAACTACTCGGGAGGCTGAGGTAGGAGAATTGCCTGAACCCGGGAGGCGGAGGTTGCAGTGAGCCAAGATTGCGTCACTGCACTCCAGCCTGGGCAACCGAGCAGACTCAAAAAAAAAAAAAAGAAAAAGGAAAAAAGAAGAGGTCCAGAAGCCCCCAGAGCTCCCTCAAAGCTAAACAAGAACCCTTCAATGGCACGACAAGGGAAATCAGAAACCAGAGTGTACCACAAATAGTAATGGTAGGTACTGTGTCTTAGAAACTTTTTCACCGGTAAACTGATGCAGGCGAGGTTTCCTTGATGGACAGAAGCCTCTCTGAAGAAGCTATTATTCTCACTTCTTTCCCAATGGCCAGCTCGGAATGGCACAATTGCCCAACTGGGCGAGCCCACAGAGTTCCCTTCTTCCCTCTGGGAGAGACTTTTTGGTTCCTCTTTTGACTTTCTTTTTTGTTGTTGTTTTTGAGACAGAGTCTGGCTCTGTCGCCCAGGCTGGAGTGCAGTGGCTTGATCTTGGCTCACGGCAACCTCCGCCTCCCAGGTTCCAGCAATTCTCCCGCCTCAGCCTCCGAGTAGCTGGGATTACAGGCATGCACCACCCGCCCGGCTAATTTTTGTATTTTTTAGTAGAGACGGGGTTTCACCATGTTGGCCAGGCTGGTCTCAAACTCCTGACCTCAAGTGATCCGCCTGCCTCAGTCTCCCAAAGTGCTGGGATTTCAGGTGTGAGCCACCATGCCCAGCCCCTTTTTTGACTTTCTTTCTTTCAACCCCACCTTCCTTCTGCCTCCCTGACATCAAGAAGGAGCATATTTTGTGATGTCCTGGGGCTCCCAACAAGGGGGTGCTTAGTACCCCGAGAAAACATCTCCCCCAGGCGACTGTCTGTGCCCGGGCACGGAGGAAACAAGAGGAGCAGAAGACCAGATGTTCCCTGCATTTTCCATCTGGCTCCGGACAAAGGCAAAGGTTGAGGCAGTTCCACGGGAGGCGGGTGGTCAGGCTGCTCCATGAGCCGAAGCTCCCGGAGACCCTGATGACAGCTGCCGAGGAAAACAGGAAAAGAAAGTGGGCGGCAGCGTTTTGTCTTCCTGCCTCTGCCTTCCTTGGGCACAAGGCTAGTGAGCTGCTTCCGCAGCATCAAAGCCCAGATCAGAAGGCAGGGAATGTCGGCCAGGCCAGGTGGCTCACGCCTGTCACCCCAGCGCTTTGGGAGGCCAAGGCGGGTGGATCACCTGAGGTCAGGAGTTTGAGACCAGCCTGACCAACATGGCGAAACCCCATGTGTACTAAAAATACAAAAATTAGCCGGGTGTGGTGGCGCACGCCCATAGTCCCAGCTACTCGGGAGGCTGAGGCAGGAGAATCGCTTGAACCTGGGACGCGGAGGTTGCAGTGAGCCGAGATCCCCCCACTGCACTCCAGCCTGGGCGACAGAGCAAGACTCCGTCTCAAAAAAAAAAAAAAAGGCAAGGGATTGTGAAGCCACGCCCTGCTGCCTGTGGACCTCAGCTGAGGAGGCCCTGCCAGGCCACCTCGCCCATAGCCCCTCTACTGTTTGGGACACCCAGGCACATGCAGGCACATGGAAGGCAAGGAAACAGAAACCAATCAAAGCGGCCTCAAATTTAGAAACAGATTACTGAACTACAGAGCTTTAAAAAATCTGTACTCACTGTTAATGAGGTGAAGGTCATACACATCCCACCAAAGCCATTCAGAGCCAGGGCGATGAAGATGAGCACGGAGAGAGCTGCAGGGACATGGAAAGCTCGTGAGTGGAGACCCCAGCTGAGCTCCAGGGAAGCCGGGACCAGCCCAGAGTCCTGCGCGGTGCAGGCTCCCAGTAAATCCAGTAAACGCAGGCCGGGGTTAGTACCTGACATCTGGGGAGTGGAACTGCCCCTTTCTCACCCCCTCCTCTAGGCCTATTTCTTTTTCTTTTTTAATCGAGACGTAGTTTTGCTCTTGTCACCCAGGCTGGAGTGCAATGGCACGATCCTGGCTCACTGCAACCTCTGACTCCCGGGTTCAAGTGATCCTCCTGCCTCAGCCTCCCAAGTAGCCGGGATTACAGGCATGCGCCACCACACCCGGCTAATTTTTGTATGTCTTGCCATGTTGGCCAGGCTGGTCTCGAACTCCTGGCCTCGGGTGATCTGCCGATCTCAGCCTCCCAAAGCGCTAAGATTACAGGCATAAGCCACCATGCCCAGCCTCCTCTTGCCTATTTCACAAAGCGTGGGCTCTTGAAAAAGCTGCACACCCATCTTCTTTTCTCCAATTAATATTAGCAGTGTCCAGGCGCAGTGACTCACACCTAGAATCCCAACACTTTGGGAGGCTGAAGCAGGAGAATTGCTTGAGCCCAGGGGTTCAAGACCAGCCTGGGCAACAAAGTGAGACCCCATTTCTAAAAAAAAGTTAAAAATTAGCCAGGTGAAGCCAGGCGCGGTGGCTCACGCCTGTAATCCCAGCACTTTGGGAGGCTGAGGCAGGTGGATCACGAGGTCAGGAGATCAAGACCATCCTGGTTAACACAGTGAAACCCCATCTCTAATAAAAATACAAAAAATTAGCCAGGCGTGGTGGCGGGTGCCCGTGGTCCCAACTACACAGGAGGCTGAGGCAGGAGAATGGCGTGAACCCGGGAGGTGGAGGTTGCAGTGAGCTGAGATTGCGCCATTGCACTCCAGCCCGGGCGACAGAGGGAGACTCTGTCTCAACAACAACAACAAAAAAATTAGCTAGCTGTGTGTGTGCGTGCCTGTAGTCCCAGCTACTCTGGAGGCTGAAGTGGGACGATCGCTTGAGCCTGGGAGGTCCAGGGTGCAGTAAGCTGTGACTGCACCACTGCACTCCAGCCAGGGTGACAGAGAGAGACCCTGTCTCTAAAACAAAACAAAACAAAACAACAACAACAAAAAAACAAACAGCAGCGAGCAGGAGGCCTAAGAAACCAAAAATACAGGTTCCTGAAAATCAGTAGATGAGCCTGGCTAAGATTTTGGTGAAACTCGAGTCCTCTTTTGGTGTTTGCTCTACAAATCCTTGAACAGGGTTGGGGACCAGGTGGCTTCTAAGCCATCCTTCATGCTTTGGCCTGTGCTGCCTGGAGGGGACTCAGCTTGTGACTTCTGCACACACCGATGACCATGCCCCTGCAGCCGGCCTGGTTCTTAGAACTTGCCTCTCAGGTTGGCATCAGTGAGGGACTGGCTTGGTTTGGTGATGAGATGGAAGTTGCTCATACCCTGGAAGCTCCTGTCTGGGGTGGCTGCTCTCTGATCTCGCCGTCTATTTGAGATAAGTAACTGAGTAGAGGCGTAACAGGTGTCCCCTCTAACTTGAGCAGGGAGCAGCAGGCCCAGGACAGTGTCCAAGAGCAGGTGGGCCTGGGAGCAGCTCAGGGCACTCTCTCCCCGGTCCCTGACAGAAGATGGAGGGAGAGGACACTCACCGTTTGGTTTACTTGCTCCGTACGCAATCAGCAAGCAGGAAACCGCGAAGCAGGCGCTAAAACCAAGCAGAAACGCAATGTTATTTACCATTATGACTTTATTCAGTGTTATTGTTTTGTTTTTGTTTTTGGTTTTTGGTTTTTCTTGAGACAGAGCCTTGCTCTGTCACCCGGGCTGGAGTGCAGTGGCGCGATCTCGGCTCACTGCAACCTCCGCCTCCCAGGTTCAAGCATTTCTCCTGCCTCAGCCTCCCAAGTAGCTGGGATATTACAGGCGCCCACCACCACGCGTGGCTAATTTTTTTATTTTTAGTGGAGACAGGGTTTCACCATGTTGGCCAGGCTGGTCTCGAACTCCTGGCCTCAGGTGACCCACCCAACTCTGCCTCCCAAAAAGCTGGGATTACCAGTGTAAGCCACCGTGCCCAGCCCATTTTCATTTATATTTTTGTATATGTATTATAAAGCACATTAAGAATGGCATAGGGGGCCGGGAGCCACTGCACTCCAGCTCCAGTTGCTTGGGCAACAACAGCAAAACTCCAACTCAAAAGGAAAAAAAAAAAAAAAAGAATGGCATAGGGGCCAGGCACGATGGCTCACGCCTGTAATCCCAGCACTTTGGGAGGCCGAGGCGGGCAGATCACAAGGTCAGGAGATCGAGACCATCCTGGCTAACACAGTGAAACCCCGTCTCTACTAAAAATACAAAAAATTAGCCGGGCGTGGTGGCAGGCGCCTGTGGTCCCAGCTACTCGGGAGGCTGAGGCAGGAGAATAGCGTGAACCCGGGAGGCGGAGCTCGCAGTGAGCCGAGATCGCGCCGCTGCACTCTAGCCTGGGCGACAGAGGGAGACTCCATCTCAATAAATAAATAAATAAATAAATAAATAAATAAATATGAAAAATATAAAAATTAGCTGGGTGTGGTGGCAGGCGCCTGTAATCCCAGCTACTCGGGAGGGTGAGACAGGAGAATTGCTTGAACTGGGGAGGCAGAGGTTGCCGTGAGCCGAGATCACGCCACTGCACTCCAGCCTGGGCGACACAGCAAGACTCCGTCTTGAAAAAAAAAAAAAAAAAAAGAGCACAGATATACATCATTTATAATTCCATGTGCTTATTATATTGGGGGTACGTGTTGAAAATCTTTTTTCTGGTGGAGCTATAAGGTCAAACGGGCTGTGGAAACCAGTGTTGTTGGTTTTTTTTCTCATCAGATGGATACTGTGCCAGCTTCGTAACAAGGTTTGAGGGAAGCATGTCTCACACATGCGAGGGAAACCCCAATTATCATGCTTATGAACTACAAAGGGATGGGAAACACATGTTCTTAGTGACAAGCAGCTCCGGTCCCTGGGCGGCCTGGAGCCTGGAGCTTTTCTTATTCGGTACTGGAGCACGGCGAGGACCACAGTACCTGCTGATTCGGTGGCGGACGGGGTAGGAACTCCATTCTGGAGGGCCTTCAGGGAGCTCCACAGTACACCTGATATCAGGTACGACCAGGATACCCTTCTGTGGGGAACTCAGCCCAGGGGGTCCACCTGCCCACTCCCTGCCCCCTAAGGGACCCACACTGACCTGCCCAGCAGCCTGAGCTTCCTCGGGCCATACTTGTCCATGACGATACCCAGGGGCAGGGTGATGGCACTGAGCAGAAAGGAGCCCACAGTGAAGGCCAAATTTAGCATCTCGTCCTGGGCCTGGCAGCTGAGCCAGCCGTTCATCCAGCTCACCTCCTCGTGCCCCGGCTCTGCTGTGCCGCCCACTGTGCCATTGGTGACATTCTCTGTGTGAAGAGGGAAGGAAACCCTGACCTCAGGGTCATGACAGGGATTCCCAAAGATCAGAAGGGCAGGTGCCCATTCAGAGTCCCCCCACTGGGAATGCCAGGGCTGGCTGGCGGCCTCTCGAGGGCTCAGGCTACCCCGCAGCAGGCTTGGATGGCCATTTGGCCCAAGTCCCCTGGAGTGAAAATGTAGAGGTTCTTAACTTTTGTGGGGGCCATGGACCCTTTGAAAAATCCAATAAAGACCTCCCCAGAAAATGCACACCAAGGTTTATCCACAGTTTCAGGAGCTTTGTGTGTCCCTTGAAGAGCAACGAAGCCCAGGCTGAGAGTCCCATTCGAGAGCATCCGCCACCCTAGAACGGCAGACCTCAGGGCCCAGCCTTGGCTGTGGGGCCCCAGGCTGGTGAGAACCTTCTCACGGCAGCTATGTCCGTGGGGACAGACTGCAGCCAGTATGGAGGCAGAACCCAGACCACTTGGGAAGCACAAGCACTGGTCTCACCCCAATAGCCTGGTTCTCCTCTGTCCATGTGGGGAGACTGCGGCGCCTCCTTCAATGGGAAGTCCAGCTGCCTTCTCAAACATAGAACAGATGCCACCTTCTCCCCCTGATATTTTCTTTTTCTTTTTTTTTTTGAGGCGGAGTCTCACTCTGTTGCCCAGGCTGGAGTGCAGTAGCACGATCTCGGCTCACTGCAACCTCCGCCTCCCGGGTTCAAGCAATTCTCCTGCCTCAGCCTCCCGAGTAGCTGGGATTACAGGCACCTGCCACCGCGCCCGGCTAGTGTTTGTATTTTTAGTAAAGATGGGGTTTCATCATGTTGCCCAGGCTGGTCTCGAACTCCTGACCTCAGGTGATCCTCTCACCTCTGCCTCCCAAAGTGCTGGGATCACAGGCGTGAGCCGCCACACCCAGCCGATATGCACCTTTCTTATTTTCCTTGCCGGGGTCACAGTGGTGCCATCCCGTGGCCATGCCTAGACCTCGCTGGGTGCTGAGTCTGGTGTGTTTGCCACACCCAGCCCTTAATGGCCCCCTTCAAAGTCCACCCAGCACCAAAACAACACAGAAAGGAAGAGAAAAGTGCTGTGGCAGCTGAAGATGGGAGGGTGGAGGACGGGCTGGGAACGTGGCTGAGGAGCTCTCCTGGCCGGGACTGCTAGTTAAGAGATGCTGACTAATCCTGCAGAAAACAGGAGCCGACTTTGATTAGACATGAGGTCACGCTGGGAGAGTCAAGGAAACGCTCTTCTTCCGGTAACTGCCTGCCTTCCAATTGCAGCCCTCTGGCGCCAGGGCTGTAGCGCCGAGGTTTGCAAAAGCTTGCTCAGGCCTCTCGGGGTTCCTCCAAGGTTACTGGAAAGGATGCGCACAGGTGGACTCGTGCTTCATGCCAACGTGTGGCCAAGGAGCCCCGCCGGGGCCGTGTGGATGAAGAGCGTGGAACTGGAATCTGGTTTCTAGCTTCCAGTGTTTGATTCTCCACTTTCTACCTGCATGACCTTGCTCTAGCTCAGTTTCCTTGTCCATAACATGGACATCATATAATGATAAGATCCACCTCCTAGAGTGTGGGGGAAGATCAATGAGAAAAATTCAGAAAACCTTCTGGAGCTCACCCAGGCATAGAAAGCACTCAATAATGAATAGCTACAAGTTGCTGCTGTTCTCGTGGTTATCATGATCATTGCTGCTATTGGAGGCTCCGGCGGGGAATCACGGCACCATCAGCTGGCACAGAGCCGGATGCAGTGGCTGTGGGGAGCACAGTCCCGTCAGCGTGTGTGGAAGCGCAAAGACATGTCTAATCCCCCACTGGGCTGTGAGCCCCGAAGGGCAGGGCCTGCACTGTGGTCACTTCTGTGTCCCCAGTATCTCACCCAGGTCTTGGCCTACAATAGCTGTTTACTGAATAAATAAAAACAACAGGGCCAGGTGTGGCGGCTCATGCCTGTAATCCCAGCACTTTGGGAGGCAGAGGCGGGTGGATCGCCCGAGGTCAGGAGTTCAAGACCAGCCTGGCCAACATGGTGAAGCCCCGTCTCTACTAAAAATTCAAAAATTAGCCAGGCATGGTGGCGCATGCCTGTAATCCCAGCTACTCAGGAGGCTGAGGCAAGAGAATCATTGAACCCGGTAAACGGAGGCTGCAGTGAGCCAAGATCACACACCACTGCACTCCAGCCTGGGCAAATAGTTAGACTCTGTCTCAAAAAAAACAAAAAACAAACAAACAAACAAACAGAATCAGGCCGGGTACAGTGGCTCAGTCTGTAATCCCAGCCCTTCGGGAGGCCAAGGTGGGTGGATCACCTAAGGCCAGGAGTTCAAGACCAGCCTGGCCAATATGGTGAAACCCCATCTCTACTAAAAATACAAAAATTAGCCGGGCATGGTGGGCGTCTATAATCACAGCTACTCGGGAGGCTGAGACAGGAGAATTGCTTGAAGCCGGGAGGCGGAGGTTGTGGTAAGCTGAGATCACACCACTGCACTCCAGCCTGGGCAACAGAGTGAGACCCCGTCTCGAAAAACAAAACAGAACAAAACAAAACAAAAACAATGGCACCAGATCACAATGGCCAAAAAGATCGAGAGAGGAATCAACAGAACCACGTTGAATCGAGGGGGGATTTAAGGAGATCAGAGCCACGAGGTTAACCATGTGGAGCCACAGAAATACAACGTCACCAACCAGATTCCCACCTCGGCCACTTTCTCTCGGTTTTCCAAAAAGAAGCTCTACCACACGGTCAGCCAAACACATGGCAGACGGGGTCCTCGAGCCCGTCAGGGTGGAGCTCAGAGCGGTCATGTACACCGCCACAGCCGACAGGCCTGGGCCACTCGCCCATCCACAGTGGGGCAGCTTCTGGAAAGGAGGAGCTGCTTTGTGAGTTGGTGTTGGTTTCAAATGTCAGCTCTGCCAGCAGCAAAGGAATTGGCTCTGAAGTCAGGGAAAGAGGGTCTCTACAAAGCAACAGCCATTTCCAGGTTGACATGCAGATAGGAGCAAACCAGCACAGAGGTGACAGAGAGGATGGATGGAGAGAGCACGCCAGGGCCCAGGATGGGTGACTTGTGGGGACAGTGACTGCACAGGGGCCGTGGAATAACTGAGGGCTTGGGGGGCTGCACGTTCTACTGCTGCAAGCAGGAGCCACGGGGACAAGGAATGGAGTGGGTGAGGCAGCACTGCCTGAGTAAAGGCACCAGGGACCTCCAGTTACCCCAGGGAGGAACCACAGCTGGGTCTCTAAACCCATGGGTTTTCTCATCTAGAGCCAGAAGATAAAAATCCCAAGGCTAGGCCAGGCACGGTGGCTCACGCCTGTAATCCCAGCACTTTGGGAGGCCGAGGCAGGCGGACCACTTGAGGTCAGGAGTTTGAGACCAGCCTGGCCAACATGGTGAAACCCCATCTCTACTACAAATACAAAAAAATTTAGCCAGGCTTGGTGGCAGGTACCCGTAACCCCAACTACTTTGGAGGCTGAGGCAGGAGAATCGCTTGAACCCAGGAGGCAGAGGTTGCAGTGAGCCGAGATTGTGCCACTGCACTCCAGCCTGGGCCACAGAGTGAGACTCTGTCTCCAAACACACAAACAAACAAACAAAAGTCTTAAATTGATTAGAGATCTGGTCACCCCTTTAACCACATAGGGAAGAGGCAAGGTCAGGGTAGAGGCAAGGGTATCTGTCCTTCCCATCTTTTACCCTGGAGCGACTACACACAGGGGCAGGGACCTTGCACGTAGGCCAACAGCCTTCTCGTCTTAAACAAATCCCTGCCGATGGGGCCACCAGGCCCTCTGCCCGGCCGCCTGCCTCCAGGCCGTCCCGTCCAGCAACAGAGGCGCCTGGGGCCGGGGAGGTGAGCGGCTTCTCCTTCTGCTTGTGGAGCAATTTGAGAGTCTCCCTCCTGCTGGAGGGAAGGAAGCCCTTGGTGAGCCCAGAAGCTCTGTTGACAGTAAACAGCCCACATGCACCCAGCAGATGCCCAAACAGACACACCCAGGCTGTTCCTCTCCCTCTGGTCCCACCTGGGCCACCGTGGGTCAGGAGAGAGACAAACAGATTAAGCACCCAGGAAGTGCCAAGGCGTGGGGTGGCCCTCTGCTCCCAGCCTGGAGCTTGACCCCGGGCCAGCCTGCTCTGCTCACCCCCGGCCAGGCTGCTCTGCTCCTCACCTGCACCTGTTTATTAAACAGATGCCTCCTCTGGGGTGGCCAGAAGTGGCCCAGCCCAGCCTGGCCAGAGAAGGTGAACTGAGAAGACAGGCAAGAGTTGGTGTGGCCAGTGAGTGCCAAGAACAGGAACAGGGCTGCTTAGGAGGAGACCCAGGGCCAGGGAGGACGTACACCGTTCAGCCCCACTCACAGAAGACGCACAAGATCTTTACAGAGGAATCAGGGAGAAAAGAGGGTGCTGTGGCCCCCCAGGCTCCCCTGAGGCAAAGAGGAGCCTCCCCACACCCCGGGGAGACAAAGGGAGGGGGGCCTCCAAGATGATGCTTGAGGGGGCCAAGAAGTACCTGGCTTGAGGTCCCCTCTAAATTCCTGAGCTGCCCCCTTCCCTGACTAGTCGCTTTCCGAGCCCCCCCTCCAGGGTGCGGGCCCCTGGACAGCCCACCGATGGCCCCTGCCCAGGATCTCCCGTCTCTCAAATCCTTAGTCTATCCGGCAACAGGAAGCAGCATCTCAGTCCTCAGTCCGGCAGGGGAGATGTAGGTGAGAGGTCGGCTCAGACACAGAGCAAACAACAGGCAGGAGGGCACGGACAGGCAGAGGCCGTCCTGGGCTGACCAGGGCCTGGCCCCTGAGCAGTGGTCCCAGCAGCGGCTGCCGTGTGTGCAATGAAAGTGTGTGCCAGCTGCCATGCTCAACGGGTGTGCCCACGCCCACCCCATATTCCCCACGAGGATACTGTCAGAGTGTCCCCGAGGGATGCTCAGAGCAGGTAAGTCACTTGCAGAAGGTCTCATGGGGGTCCCTGGGGAAGCTGGGCTTGACTCCAGGCTGTCAGACCCCAAAGCTCCCGCTCTTACCACTCGGTCTGTGCCGATGCTGGCCTACCTGGGCTAGAGGCTCATATCCCAGAGAGAAAATGCTGAGAGAACAGAGCCGGGAAAAGGCTGCCCATGTGCCGGCAACACCAGGAGGCCCTGAATATCGCTTGGTGGGAATGGGACTAAGACTCTCCCACGAGGTCCCTGAGAGCCAGCCTAAGCTGGACAGGACCTTCATGGACACCAGAAGCCAGGGGTGGCCAGTGGATGTCTGTGAGGGAAATGAGGTCACGAACCAAGAAGGAGGGAGGCTGGGGCGGTGGGAAGAGCCAAGGCCACCAGCTCTTCTCTGAGACGCATCCTGAGGCTGCCGGCCCCAGCCTTTAAACCTTCTTACCCATTGCTATGGAATTTTTAAAATTCCAAATAAACTGGGGGAAAAGTTTAAAAGTCATATTTATAGCAATAAAAGTGAAAGGCTGGATTTAAGAAAGCTATCCGGCTGGGCGCGGTGGCTCACGCCTGTAATCCCAGCATTGTGGGAGGCCGAGGCGGGTGGATCACGAGGTCAGGAGATCAAGACCATCGTGGCTAACACGGTGAAACCCCGTCTCTACTAAAAATACAAAAAAATTTAGCCAGGCGTGGTGGCGGGCGCCTGCAGTCCCAGCTACTGGGGAGGCTGAGGCAGGAGAATGGCGTGAACCCGGGAGGCGGAGGTTGCGGTGAGCCGAGATCGCGCCACTGCACTCCAGCCTGGGCGACAGAGCAAGACTCTGTCTCAAAAAAAAAAAAACTATCCACACTTGCCTGTGGGTGTGAGGAGAGACTCTAAAAAGAGAGGCCCTTGAGCTGGGCGCAGTGGCTCACGCCTGTAATCCCAGCACTTTGGGAGGCCAAGGCTGGTAGATCACCTGAGGTCAGGAGTTTGAGACCAGCCTGGCCAACATGGTGAAACCCTGTCTCTACTAAAAATACAAAAATTAGCCGGGTGTGGTGGTGGGCACCTGTAATCCCAGCTATTTGGGAGGCTGAGGCAGGAGAATCACTTTAACCCGGGAGATGGAGTTTGCGGTGAGCTGAGATCATGCCATTGTACTCCAGCCTGGGCGACAGAGTGAAACTCCATCTCAAAAAAATAAAATAAAATAAAATACAAATACAAATACAAAAAATTAGCCGGGTATGGTGGCAGGCGCCTGTAATCCCAGCTACTTGGGAGGCTGAGGCAGGAAAATCGCTTTAACCCGAGAGGCAGAGGTTACAGTGAGCCGAGACTGCGCCACTGCACTCCAGCCTGGGCGACAAGAGTGAAACTCCGTTCCCTCCTCCCCATCCCCCAAGAAAAGAGGTCCTCGAGGCAGCAGAGAAATCTCCTGTCCACATCTGCAGCTTCACTCAGCCCGTGGGGATCAAGCCTGGGCCTGCTTCCCCAAGGTGGGCGGCAGCCCCTCTGCCCTTGCAGCGATCTCTGTGCCAGGGCGAGCTCGCAGGGACCTCTGTGCCAGGGTGAGAGGCTCTCTCCCACCACCACAGGTGGAGAAACTGCAGAGGTCAAGAGCATACAACTGGGGTCGGCCTTCATGCCCATGGTCAGACTGTGGGTGACTTCCTCAGGCAGAGGCCGTGATGACTTCTGGTTTCTATGCCACCCAAACATACCAGCATGTGGCAAGCCCTCAGCAATTCACACAAGCCTCTAACAGGGGAATTGGATGGTCGCCCTCCTCTATCTCCCTGGCTTCCTCCTGTCTTGGGAATAAAATTCAGTTTCCCCGAATGGCCTCCCAGTCCCTGCAGCCCCCGCCCCTTCCCACTTCTCTCCTCTCCTCCAGGGTGTACCCTCCTCTCCTCCAGGCTGTACCCTCCTCTCCTCCAGGGCGTACCCTCCTCTCCTCCAGGGCGTATCCTCCTCTCCTCCAGGCTGTACCCTCCTCTCCTCCAGGCTGTACCCTCCTCTCCTCCAGGCTGTACCCTCCTCTCCTCCAGGCTGTACCCTCCTCTCCTCCAGGCTGTACCCTCCTCTCCTCCAGGGTGTACCCTCCTCTCCTCCAGGCTGTACCCTCCTCTCCTCCAGGGTGTACCCTCCTCTCCTCCAGGGTGTACCCTCCTCTCCTGAATCACCCCTCCTCAACCTCCAGGCTTCCACCTGAACCGCAGAGAGGCCCTCCCACCCAGCAGGAGCCACATCTCCGCTGCTGTTCTAGCTCCTGGCGCCCTGCTTTCTTGGGGGCCCGACCACCCCCTGGAATTATACGGGTTACACAGGTATGCGTGTGATGACTTGTTTCCTCTGCACCCAGCACGGCACCTTCGTCAATGTTTACTGAATGTTTAGGTTACAAGAAAGAGGGGATTAACGATCCACATGTAGGCCTGGAGCGGTGGCTCACGCCTATAATCCCAGCAATGTGGGAGCCCGAGGTGGGTGGATCGACTGAGCCCAGGAGTTCAAGACCAGCCTGGGCAACATGGTGAAACCCCTATCTCTACAAAACATTTAAAAATTAACTGGGTATGGTGGCTTACACCTGTAGTCCCAGCACTTTGGGAGGCTGAGGCTGGTGGATCACTTGAGCCCAGGAGTTTTGAGACCAGCCTGAGCAACGTGATGAAACCCTCATCTCTACAAAAAATTTGACCGGGCGTGGTGGCTCACACCTGTAATCCCAGTGCTTTGGGAGGCCAAGGCGGGTGGATCACCTGAGGTCAGGAGTTCGAGACCAGCCAGGCCAACATGGTAAAACCACATCTCTACTAAAAAATACAAAAATTAGCCGGGCGTGGTGGTGGGCACCTGTAATCCCAAAAACAAAAACAAAAAACTAACTGGGTTTGATGGCTCATGCTTGCAGGCCCAGCACTTTGGAAGGCTGAGGCAGGAGGATCGCTTGAGCCCAGGAGTTTGAGACCAGCCTAGGCAACATGGCGAGACCCTGTCTCTACAAAAAATACAAAAATTAGCTGAGTATGGTGGCGCACACTTGTAGTCCCAGCTACTGCTACTCGGGAGGCTGAGGCGGGAGGATTGCTTGAGCCCAGGAGTCAAGGCCGCAGTGAGCTGTGATTGCAACACTACATTCCAGACTGGGCAACAGAGCGAGACCCTGTCTCAAATAAAAAAAAACCATCCACAGGTAGCCGCAGCCCCCCAGGCTGACCCTGACCCTGTTGAAGCGGGGGCCACTGGACAACAGAGAAAACGAAGAAAGAGCTCAGGAGTGGGCCGTCACGTTGCCATCCCAGAGGCCAAGAGGACACAGCTCCAGGAAGCCCCGTGCTTCTCGGGCTGAGAACCCAACTGGTCTCCTGCCCTCACCAGGGGGACGAGGGAGGCATCCAGCAGCCAACACCTGGAGGACGTTGTGCAAAACCCATTGCCAACTTCCCGCACCCAGGTCCCCAAACCCAGCCTGCCACGTCTCCCAGCAGGCAAGGAAGAACAAACTGCGGGGCAGCCGAGAAATGAGCTGTTTCCTTCCTTCTGCCACCTCACCAGGCTGGAACCCAACACGGTGTCTGTGGCGAGATTCTGGCTGGAGTCGTAAGAAAGAGTTCTAAGAACCTTTCAACAGGTTCAGGCAAATTTTCTTTAGAGAACAAACTAAAGCATCGTCCTAGAGTGACACGAAGCTGACAAATTTGCATCTCAATCAGCCGGACACTGCTCAGGCTTTCACAAGTCTAATTCAATAAATTCAAAAATGGCCTATCTGCTTCTCTGCAATTCAGCCATGCACCAAGTTTGAAAATGTTAGACTGAAGCAGAAACCTTCACCCTAACTTCGCCAGGCACTCCCAGACGAGCCAAATGCGGGGATTTCTGGCCTGAAAGAAAACTGGTGATGCAGACTCCAAGAATCAAGGAGCAGTGTGACCAGAGAGATAAGCTGTGTGGAATCAGCAGCCTTCCCGCCCAGAACGTGGGCTCAGCATGTTTGCCAGATAATAAGAAAAACCAAAATTGGAGGCAGGAGCAAAAGTTCGGGATAAGAAGTTGATGTTCAACCCACAATCCTGACCCTTCACCTTCACTTTGGTTTAGTGGAGTTACCTGTCAAGTCTGCCCAGGGCTTAAAACACCAACTCAGCACTGCGCTGGCACAATCTCTGGGACTCCTCCCACTTAGACAGAGGAGGAAGCTGAGGTTGAGGCAGGAATGAAAGGACCAGACCCAATTCTGCCAAAACCATACAATCAATTAAATCCGTGGACATTCTATTAAAAAAAAACAAAAAACAAAAAACAAACAAAAAACACCTAGAATCTGACCTTCCGACATCATGGTGGGTTAAAAAAAAAACACACAAAAAAACACCTGCCCACAACAGTTCTCTGGTCTGGGTGAGACACTAAAAGCTTTCTCTGGGGACGATGACTTTTTTTCTGCTTTTTTTTTTTTTTTTTAAACCCTGTGTCCAGCCTGAAAGAGCCCACCAGGGAGGCAAGCAGGAAGGGTCACGATCTCTAAGGGGGGAGAGAGGAAAGGAGAGGAAGAAGTAAACACTCCAACCTGTGCCTTTCGGGGACAGGCATTAATCTCCTAACAACTCTTGGCCAAAGCAGAAAGCTTGTTCAGGGAACAAGGTCTGACTCTTCCCAACTCCCAAGATTTCTTGCTGATGTGGGGAAAGACCTGCCAAGAACCCTTAGGCTATTAGGAAATATTTTTGAGTGGCTAAAGGCTAAAGGTTAGTTATAAATGATATACTTTCTGTCCTCTCCCCGCGGCCTCTGCATTCTCCTGCTTTCTCCTGCCCTGAACCTCTCCAGCTAAGCCTCCCTCCCTAGAGACTGGGACACACAGGAATCTCCGGGGCAGATCAGAGAAGGGAAACAGGGAGGCTTCCACAAAGGATTACACCCAGCATGAGCTGGTCCAAAGCTTTCTCTTCCTGCAAAGAGCTCTAGAAAGAAAAGGCCTGCTGCTGGGGATTCAGGAAGTCAAACCTGGGCTACCTCCATCTAAGGGCACTCTAGCACTGGCGACAGGGATTATGTGAGCTCAGCTATTATGCAGCTACCGTTGGGATCAAGGAGAAGGCAGAGGGAAAATTTCCTGTCAAGGTTGCCTAAGAAGGAGGGTAGGAGGCTAGAGGCTGGGGGCTGCTGTGGCCCTCCTGTGGGGCTGAATTTACTGCCCTGTAGTCATCAGGACCCTCCAACAGGGTATGAAGGTGTGAAGGTAAGTGTGTGTTGGGTGGTGCAGATGTCATGTAGAGAAGCATCCTCAGCCTGCCTTCAGCAATTCCAGTGACAAGGCAAAGAGGAGAGAACAACCCTAGCATCATTTCCATAAACGTTCCTTTCTTCTCTTCCCCTTCATCCCCATGGGGTTGGAAAGCCACGGAGATGTCCTCAGAGCCCGTGGGGGAAATGTCCTTTGGAGAATCATAAGGCAGCAAAAATAGACAAGAAATTGTGTCCAGCAAGCACTTAGGAGACTCCACAATGGCCTGAGGAACGTCTAGATTCTAGATGAGCCCTCCCTGGGGTGGAGGCAAGGCCACTTCCTCTCCTGCTGCACCCCAGCCCCTTAATCTGGAGTTCCTCTTTCTCACAAGCAGACAGCAACATGTTTACTACCAGCCAAGCTATGTTCCAGGGCTGGGAGGAGAGGAGAGCAGTCCAGCACTGTTCGTAGCGGGTGGAAGGAACACCCTGGACAGCAGGTGGGGTTCTGGGTGGATGGCAGGCCCAGGCTCTGCGGCCTTGCGCAAGACAGATCGCTCTGAGCCTCGATGTCTTCGTCCACAAAACAGGGGCAATGACAAGTACCCGGCAGGGCTGGGTGAGGATCAGATGGGCCTTCTGATACCCTAGAGGCACTGGGCAATGCGGTGCTGTGGCTCGCTAGGTCTTCGCCCCCATCCCGCCCCCTCCCAAAGCCCCAGCTCCAGGAGCCCCCCGCAACCCCAGGCGCTTGTCTCACCTGGCTCGGTACACAGGTAGGAGTAAAAGCCCTCTGACTTGAGCATGATGAGCAGCGAGCCCCAGCCCAGGAGGACTGCCGAGAAGAGGAGGTTCTCCAGCACGGCCGTGCAGGCCATCCACCAGCGGCGCCGATGGGCAGTGGCCAGGGTGGGCGCCATGGTGCGGCGCGGCGCGGCTCCGGCTCCGGCTCCGGCTCTGCACCACCTGCGCACAGAACTCGGCGTCAGCGGCCGGCCCTTGCCCAGCCCCTGCGGCCGCCCCCAGCAGCCCCGACCGCTGCCGCAGGGCTCGGGATTGCCACCCCTCCCCGGCCGCGGCGGCCGGTGCGCGCAGCAGAGGAAGCGAACCCCAGCCCTGCCCGGACCTGGGACACCCCGAGCCCGCGGCCGGCTCGTACCGCTGCCCTCCGCTACGACAGAGCCGCCCCGGCCAGGCAGGGAGACGTCTCCCGCAGCTCACTCCGAGGTAAACTGAGGCATGGAGGCAAGAAGGGGCTAACGCATGCTCAGGGCCGTGGAACTAGTCCTGGCCTGCAGCAGGACTGACATCGCCTGGGGCCAGCATGGAACGCAGCGTGAGGTGGGCAGGGGCAGATCCGAGGGCTGCCTCTCCCAGGGACCCTGACAGGTGCCCTCCCGCCCGCGCCCGAGACCCTTCCCCAGAGCTGGTTTCTTCAACCACAAGATCAGCGCCCAGACCTACGGAACGGCCCGCCCCGGCGCGCTCATTGGCCGGACGGCGCAGGAACTGCCGCGCCATTGGCCGCCGTCTAGGTCGCTAGGCGCTGCGGCCACGCGAACCCAGCGTGGGAGACGAGGAGCCGGTTCAAACCGGTGGCGCGAGCCAGCCGCGCGACCCCCATCTCGGGCGTTCCCCCGGCAACTCGCCCGTTTCCATGGCCTCGGACCCCCGCGCCTCCATTCCCCAGCCCGCATCTGTTCGTCATCTCTTCCCTGGCGGCCCCTCATCGCTCCATCTCTCTCCTCGTTCCCACGTTTTCTCCCTACGCCCCTTCGGCGGCCGCTTCTGCCCCCGCGCCCTCGCCCCGGCCGCGATCCCCTCCCTGCTGCAGCTCACCCGGCTCCTCCGGCGTGTGTCGGGCCCGCCCGGCGCCTTTTCTGCCCTCTTTTATTCCAGCCCTTTTATTCCGACCCCAAGAAGAAAACACTGCCGCCCGCTGATTGGCTGAGCGGGGCTGGAAACAGGCGTCGACCAATCAGCAGCCAGCCCCCCGCCCGCCCCGCCGCGAGCAGAAGCCGGTTCCGGCCGGACTCGGAGACAAACAAGAGAGATGGGGGACGGGAGGGGCCTGGGCGCTGCGGGCCGGGCCTCGGCTTTGCAGCCTTCAACCCGAGTCACAGCGCGGCCGGGAATCCCCGGCGACATCGCCCCGCGGCCTCTCCAGCGGCCTGACCCTGCGAGGCTGGGGCTCCGGCTCCGCGTCCCGGCCCCCAGCGGACTCCCCCCAGAAGCCGCCGGGCCACCAGCGCCCCCAGCCGGGCTCTCCCGCGGCCGCCCCGCCGTCCCCAGCTGCCCCCTGCGCGCGGGTCACCACGCCCAGATGCGCCGGCTCCGCACGGTGGTTCCACTCTCGAATCCCCACCCCGCCTCCTCCCCACGCAGCGCCGCCGTCCCCGCCGCCTCGGGCTTTGGGTCCTGGTTCCTCGCTCCCCCGCCCCGGTGGTTCCCGTCCCGGCGTATTCGGGGCCTGGGATCCCGGACCCGGTCCAGCCGTGGCGCCCCCCGCTGATGCACCGACCCCTTCCCCTCTCCCCGGTGGCGTCTGCCCGGTCCCTGGAAGTTGGCCCTTGGAAATCTGCAAGGGGATTTGGGGCTGGTCTGTCCCGTCCTAGGATGGGGTCTCCTGAGCTCCCCCCATCAGACTGACCTTTCTCCGCCCGTGTTCACGCACTGCTCGGTCCTCCGGGGACCCTCCACCCTTGATCGTCATCTGGGTGCTCCCTGCCCGCGCTGGCCACCTTCACCCCGTTCCCCGTCCCTTTCAGGGAAGGTCCCCTCTGCAGGGCGATGCTACGGGCCACGTCCGCCAGCTGGTACAAGCTAGGGAGGGTTCGAGGGGGCTCCGGGTCCCCGTCTGATAAGCCCGGGCTCCGAAAGCTCAGCTCCCCGTCTTCGTCCCCCGGATTCGAGGCACTAACCCGACCCGGGAAGACCCTCTGACTGCCCCAGAATCGCCTTGGTCACCCTGGCTCGCTCCGGGGGGCTGGCTTAGCACCCCAGGGCTGCCGCGCGGTGTCCACGTCTGGAATCCCAGCGGTTTGGGAGGCTAAGGTCGGAGGGCCACTTGGGGACAGGAGTTTGAGACCAGCCTGGGCAGCATGGCGAGAACCATCTCTACCAAAATAAAAACCAAAAATAAAACCCCACCACCACCCCAGGGCTGTGGGAGCCCCAAACGCCTCTTGCTCCACCTGCCCCAGTCCGAGTGTGCCCCCTACTGTCTAGAATCCGCCCGGGCCACCTGGCGAGGGCAACCTCCCCCAGACAACGCTTGGAGCTGTCAGCCTGCTGGGGGGCGGCTCCAGCTGGTAGCCTACCCGGTTCCTCACCCTGTGGAACCCTTCCCACTCCCAAGGTTTCAACTGCCATCTGAAAAATCTCTTTCTTCACCCTTCCCTCCTCTTTGAGCAGCCTGACGGCGCTGCAGGGCTCAAACATGCCTCAAATATCCCCCAGAACTGTCCTCCACATTTTCTCTCAGATAACCATACTACTACTGTCTACTGAAGTTAGATACCAAGAACCCTGTCTTTTTTCTTTTTCTTTTTTTTTTTTTTTTTTTGAGACAGGATCTCAGGCACCCAGACTGCTGGAGTGTGGTGGCATGATCATAGCTCACTGCAGCCTCGACCTCCTGGGCTTAGGTGATCCTCCTGCCTCAGCCTCCCAAGTAGCTGGGACCACAGGTGCATGCTACCACACTTGGCTAATTTTTGTATTTTTTGTACAGATAGGGTCTTGCCCTGTTGCCCAGGCTGGTCTTGAAGTCTTGGGCTCAAGTGATCCTCCCACCTCAGCCTCCCAAAGTGCAGGGATTACAGGCATGACTCACAGTGCCCTGCTGAGAACCATCCTTTCATCAGACATTTGTTAGGCAGTCGCTGTGATTCTGCCTCTCCCTCACCGCATCCCCATCAAACTGATACAGCTGTATCTCCTACATATTTACCTAATCGGTCCATCTGTGCCCTTAGGCCCGCAACTACTGTTGTTGAGCCACCTTCAGATTTCAGTTCCTCAAATCCAGCCCCCATCTCATCCCAGGGCACTAAGGGAAATGTAAATGTGACTTCTGCCAAAATCCTTCAGAAACTATTATTTGTAAAACAGGATAAAGTTCCAGTTCCTGGCTGGGCACGGTGGCTCACACCTGTAATACCAGCACTTCGGGAGGCTGAGGCGGGCAGATCACTTGAGGTCAGGAGTTAAAGACCAGCCTGGCCAACATGGTGAAACCCTGTCTCTACTAAAAATACAAAAATGGCTGGGCGCGGTGGCTCACGCCTGTAATCCCAGCACTTTGGGAGGCCGAGGTGGGCAGATCACAAGATCAGGAGTACGATACCAGTCTGGCCAAGATGGTGAAACCCTGTCTCTACTAAAGAAACAAAAAATTAGCTGGGTGTGGTGGCGCACACCTGTAATCCCGGCTACTCTGGAGGCTGAGGCAGGAGAATCACTTGAACCTGGGAGGCGGAAGTTGAAGTGAGCCGAGATCGTGCCACTGCACTCCAGCCTGGGCAACAAGAGCGAAACTTTGTCTGAAAAGAAAAAAAAAAAAAAAGATCTGGGTGATGTGGCACACGCCTGTAATCCCAGCTACCTGGGAGGCTGAGGCAGGAGAATTGCTTGAGCTGGGGAGGCAGAGGTTGCGGTGAGCAGAGATTGTGCCACTGTACTCCAGCCTGGGCAACAAAGCGAGACTCCGTCTCAAAAAAATAAACAAAATTTAAAAGTTCCAGTTCCCCAATTTGACCCACACAGGCTCCTCCCTCTCCCTCCCTCTGAAGGACATCTGACCTGCCTGGTCCCCGATGCTCCAGTCACATGGAATTGCCTGTGGTTTCTGCACCTGCTGTTCTCTCTCCTCTAGCTCGCGACATAGCCTCATTTTGGACGGCACCTCCGCTGGGAAGCCTTCCCTAACCACTCCCCATTAATACTGTTCACTTTATTTGTCCACTGCTGGCATTGTTTTATAATTAGCTATTCGTCTGTTTGCCTTCCTCTCTAATTGACTATGAACTCTTTGGGGGCAGGACGGTGTCTTATTCAACTTTGTATGACCAGCCCTTGATAGAGAAGCAAGCACAAAGCAGTTGCACAATATGAGTTTGTGGAATGAAAACATGAACTCCTGAAAAGGGGCAAATGGCCAGGTGCGGTGGCTCACACCTGGAATCCCAGCACTTTGGGAGGCTGAGGTGGGTGGATCACCTGAGGTCAGGAGTTCGAGACCAGCCTGGCCAACATGGCAAAACCCCATCTCTACAAAAAGTACAAAAATTAGCTGGGCATGGTGGTGGGCGCCTGTAATTCCAGCTACTCAGGAGGCTGAGGCACAAGAATGGCTTGAACCTGGGAGGCGGAGGTTGCAGTGAGCCAAGACGGAAAAGAAACAACCTTAGAATACTCATAGAACTTTAAATTGTAATGAGATATAATTGTTGATGGCTAAACACACACACAAAAATTATATATACTTTTTAGAAGCTTTAGTGGCTGGGCACAGTGGCTCACACCTGTAATCTCGGCACTTTAGGAGGCCAAGGTGGGAAGATCTTCTGAGGTCAGGAGTTCGAGAGCAACCTGGCCAACATGGCAAAACTCCATCTCTACTAAAAATGCAAAAAAATTAGCTGCACGTGGTGGCATGCGCCTGTAGTCCCGGCTACTCGAGAGGCTGAGGCAGGAGAATCGCTTGAACCTAGGAGGCCGAGGTTGCAGTGAGCTGAGATCGTGCCATTGCACTCCAGCCTGGGCAACAAGAGTGAAACTCCATCTCAAAAAATAAATAAATAAATAAATATGGACAAAGTTGTATACTATGTCATTGCTTATTGTATCAAAACAGATCAGAACAACCCAACCTTCCATTGGCGGGGGAATGATTTAAATAATTGTGCTAGATGGAATCTCATGTAGTCATTTTTTAAATAAAGAGAGTTAGCTTTACATTTATGGACATTGAACTATATCCAGGATATGTCGTTAAGTAAAAAAGCAAGTTGAGGCTGGCCGCGGTGGCTCACGCTTGTAATCCCAGCACTTCGGGAGACCAAGGCGGGTCAGGAGTTCGAGAACAGCCTGGCCAACATGGTGAAACCCCATCTCTACTAATACAAAAATTAGCTGGGTGTGGTGGCACACACCTGTAATTGCAGCTACTCAGCAGGCTGAGGCAGGAGAATCGCTTGAACCCGGGAGGCAGAGGTTGCAGTGAGCTGAGATTGCACCACTGCACTCCAGCCTGGGCAACAGAGCAAAACTTCGTCTCAAAAAGAAAAAAAAAAAAAAAAAAAGAAGCTGAGGAACAGTATGCTTAGTATGCTAAAATTTTTTGTTTAAAATATTTGTTGACATGTACACAGAAAAACATCTGAAAGAAAGCACCTCAACTGTTGATGAGACTCTCTGAGCACTGAGATAGAAGGGGCTGCCCCTGGCCGGGCGCGGTGGCTCATGCCTATAATCCCAACACTCTGGGAGGCCGAAGCTGTGGAGCCCTTGAGTTTGGGAGTTCAAGACCAGCCTGGCCAACATGGTGAAACCCTGTCTCCACCAAAAAATACAAAAATTAGCCGGGCATGGTGGCGGGCGCTTGTAATCCCAGCCACTCAGGAGGCTGAGGCAGGAGAATCGCTTGAACCGGGGAGACAGAGGTGGCAGTGAGCCGAGATCATACCACTGCACTCCGGCCTGGGTGACAGACTGAGACTCCATCTTAAAAAAAAAAAAAATAAAGCTCGGGGGGAGGGTTGCCCCTTTTCTTTTCTGACTAGGTAATATGTGAGCAAAGAATTCAAACAAGACCAAAAAGCTGCCAGGGAAAAGTAGATTCTACCTCTCTCTTGACCCACAGACGCCTCTGGGGAGAAAGGAAATCTCCGTTTTACTTTATACATGTCTGTAATGTTAGTACTTTTTATTTTTTTAACAAAGATCATTGCTTTTTATTATACTTTATCAAATTCAATCTAGTAACAAAAGTAAAAAAGAATGTTCACTGTAGAAAATTTGCAAACTATACAAAAGTTTCAGAAGAAAATAAATATCACCTACAATCTCATCTTCCAGAGGAAAAAACCATTTAGTGCCTTTCCCTTGAATCTGTTTTTATACACATACATCCTTTTTAAAAAGTTCATAGACCAGGCGTGGTGGCTCATGCCTGTCATCCCAGCACTTTGGGAGGCCGAGGCAGGTGGATCACGAGGTCAGGAGATCGAGACCATCCTGGCTAACATGGTGAAACCCTGTCTCTATTAAATATACAAAAAAATTAGCCAAGCGTGGTGGAGGGCACCTGTAGTCCCAGCTACTCGGGAGGCTGAGGCAGGAGAAGGGCGTGAACCCGGGAGGCAGAGCTTGCAGTGAGCCGAGATCGCACCACTGCACTCCAGCCTGGGGGACAGAGGGAGATTCTGTCTCAAAAAAAAAAAAAAAAATTTGTTTAGCCAATCTTTTATCAGCAAACATGTAGGTTGTTTGCTATTTCAGAAAAATGTTTTGCACGTGAAAGAAAGAATAGCCCTTATGAGGCACACAGGGTCCAGGACAGCAGAGCAAAAGTCCCTGCAGGCAACCCTTCCTGACCCCATCCTACAGGGTCTCTGCCCAGGCCTTCCTGGGCCCCTCCGGGAGCACTGCCAGGGGCCTGGGCCAACTGGCCTGGAAGCCTTGCCTTTTCCCTGTGGAGGCGCAGAGGCTCTGGTTTGTCTGTCCTGGCCCCGGGATCATTTTCCAGCACACAGCACAGTCTAGTCCATCCACTCTCCCCACTCCCCAAATTCAAGGTCATCAGGGTTCTGGTGGCCTGGAGATGGGTACAACATTCTCATACTCAGGTTCCTCCTGCCTTTCCTCTTCAGCCTGCTTCTGGGGATCCTGTTCTGGGGAGCCACAGCCAGAGACTGGCTCCTGGGCTCTCCTTGAACTCTCGGTGCCAGCCCCCAGCCCCCGGACCGCTTCCTCTGGTCTGACTGCCATAGGCCCTGTGGCCCCAGGAAGCCCAGCTTTTGGGGCTGAGTTGGGGCTCTGGCCGACAGAGCCAGAGGCAAGGCCAGGGCTGCCCTTTTTCCGATTCAGGGCCTGGCGCGGAGGCTTAGGGATGGCCCTCTTGACCTTGGCTTCCGCCTGGCCTTTCTGGAAGCTACCAAAATGGCGGAAGACAGAGCGGACAGGGCCTTCGGATCCGCGGGGCTTCCCTGCCAGCATGTAGATCGTGGTCACAGGGCCCGAGCTCTCCTGGACGCTGCCCTCAATGGCTTCCACGTGCTCAGCCACTGTCCGGCCACCAAGTGGGGGCCGCCGGTGGCCAGTGGCTGAATCCCCGGGACTGGCAGCCGCCGGAAAGGACTCGGGGGCTTCTGCTTCCTCTGGGCCTGTGGACTCTTCGGCTTCCCGGCCCTCAGGACCCGACTGCGCCCCCCGGGAGAGCCTCTTGGGCTTTCGGAGCGGGCTGGAGAGCTCCCCTGAGCTTCGGCGACTCTGTGGTGCAAACTTGGTACCTTCCGCGAAGGAGACCGATGGCCGCTTGGCCCGAGCTAGGCTGGAGGTGCGCGGGATGGCGAATGGCGTGGAGGCGTCCTCAGGGGGCGGGAAAGCACCTGCAGCCAGGCTGGCCTCTGACGACCCTGCCTGGGCCACAGGGACCATCCCTGGCAGAGGAGACAGAAGAGCTTGGCTGGAGCTGAACTGGCCACCCCAATGCATCCTACCCACAGCTCAGCATCTTCCAGGAGGCCTCAAAAATAGGGCAAGGAAGAGGGCAAGGATGAGGAGAGTGGCAGAAGGACCAATTCAGGTAGACACTGTTACTTCTACACTTTTTTTTTTTTTAATTGTAGAGATGGGGTCTCACTATGTTGGCCAGGCTGGTATCAAACCCCTGGCCTCAAGCAGTCCTCCCGCCTCAGCCTCCCAAAGTGCTGGGATCACAGGTGTGAGTCACCACACCTGGTCTCTATACTCTTTTCTCACCACCTCTCCCTACTTTGAAATACTGTCACACTCTTACCAAGCTAAAACTCTTTCGATGGCACACAGCCACATCCCTCTCACCTCTGGGCCTTTGTGTATGCTGTTCCATCTTCCTGAAACACCATTCCCTCCTCTCCCTGACTTTCACTTGGCCAACTCCTACTGATTCTGCTAGACTCGACTGGGATGCCACACACATCGTCCCTGACCCCAGTCACCCCAACATGGCTAGCAAATGAGTCCCTACTTGTATGTCCCCCATGGAAACACATATCACTGTGTCCTGTCATTGTCTGATGACTGCCCATCTGACTCTAAGCCTGGTGAGGATAGGAATCTGTCTTGTTATCTCTTGCATGCCCGGAGCCAAGAACAGTGACTAACACAAAATGGGCCCTTAATAACTGTTTGCTGGCCAGGCGCAGTGGCTCATGCCTGTAATCCCAGCACTCTGGGAGGCTGAGGCGGGTGGATCACGATCCTGGCTAACACGGTGAAACCCGGTCTCTACTAAAATATAAAAATTAGCCGTGTGTGGTGGTGCACGCCTGTAATCCCAGCTATTTGGGAGGCTGAGGCAGGGGAATCACTTGAACCCGGGAGGCAGAGGTTGCAGTGAGCTGAGATCGCACCACTGCACTCCAGCCTGGCGACAGAGCAAGACCCAGTCTCAAAAAAAAATAAAAATAAATAACTTTGCTGGAGGACTAAAGAGGGGGTCGTGGTGGGCAGGGCTGCTCAGGGGCTATGTGGGCTGTTGGGGGGCTACCTTCTTGGGGTGGCACACAGTAGGCAGGAACCTCATCTGCCTCTCCAGACTCAGGATCGGATGAGAAGGAGTCATCAGTGGCCCAGCCGGCAGAGGGCGGCTCGATGAAGCTGTGGTTGAAGGGGACCTCCGGGTCGTGATGTGAGACTGTAGAGACTCCAGATCAGGCGCCTGCAGGACCTGATGCAAAGCCCTGTCCAATCCCAGACCCCGGCCCCCAGCGCCCACTGACCTGTCACCCAGGGTAGCTTGTGGGAGCTGAGGGAACGGCAGGGCAGCGTGGAGCCCAAGCTGGTCAGTGTCCCCCAGACCTGCAGCTTCATCCTGGACACGGTAGCTCCATCTCTCGCTGGCCTGAGGGAGGAGGGTAGGGACACTGGTCAGTACATGAGACCCACGGTGACCTGGGTCACCTTGGCAGGGTGTGACAGGGTGACTGCCTCTACTTCAGTGGCTTCAGTGGCTCTCTATTGACTACAGAATAAAATCCAAATGATTGAGCCCACAATTCAGGCCTGCCACAGAACAAAGAGTGGCTCTAGAGTCAGACAGCCGAGTAACAACTCTGGTTCACACTTCACCTCCCTAGGCCTCAGTTTCCGCATCTGTAAAACAGATCCTATCTATCTATCTATCTATCTATCTATCTATCTATCTATCTATATCTATCCATCTATCTATCATCTATCTGAGCTTTTTGCAGGACCTGGCAGGTCTTTGTTATTATCATCCTAGCTGAGCCTCAGCTCACGTTTCTCTCTCTCTCTCTCTCTCTATTTTTGGGACAGAGTCTCGCTTTTGTTGCCCAGGCTGGAGTGCAGTGGTACGATCTTGGCTCACCGCAACCTTCGCCTCCTGGATTCAAGTGATTCTCCTGCCTCAGCCTCCTGAGTAGCTGGGATTACAGGCGTGCACCACCACACCCGGCTAATTTTGTATTTTTAGTAGAGACGGGGTTTCACCATGTTGGCCAGGCTGGTCTTGAACTCCTGACCTCAGGTGATCCACTCACCTTGGCCTCCCAAAGTGCTGGGATTACAGGCGTGAGTCACTGCGCCCGGCGCACCTGTCTCAAATGACACCCCCTCCAGGAAGCCTTCCCTTGTTCCCACTCTGCTCTACCCCCACATGTGGAGGAGACTGCTCTGCTCTTCACTGTTCCTCCAACAGCCTTTGCACCTGTCCTCGTGTCCCTGCGAGGGGCTTCTTCCCACCCTGGGCTCTATGCCCTGGGCCAGGGGCAACTGTATCTGCTCCTCTGTGAATGCCGCACAAGCACAGAGGAGGATGTGCTATTGGACTAGGGCAGGAACTAGTAAGAGAGCACCAGACAAAGAGTCCAAAAAGGTGGAGAGGGGCTTCCTGTGTGCCAGTACCAACTAGATCACCTTGGGCCTCAATGTCCTCTGGGAATTGAGGACATTTATCCTCCCGGCCCCACACTCCCTGTTCCAAACCTCCACGCTGCTGTGAGTCTCAAAGGAGCCTGGAATGTGACGAGGTTTCATAAAGGAACAAAGCTCTGCGTAAGCCCCCTGCGCGGGCCCCACCAGCCCAACCCTTCCTCCCCTCTCCGTCTCTCAGGCAGCTACACTCTCTGCTAAACCACTGCACAGACATTGATGTCTCTTTCCTTCGTGGGCCATCTGAGGCCTGGTCTCTTTCCCTCCTGGCCCAGAGCCGGGCTGCTCCTTCCGTGGTCCCAGCCCTCCTCCTCTGGTCCCCGCCGGTGTCAGCTTTCTGCCTCCCGCTGCAGGCTCCGGTTCGCCAGCCTGGTGCCCATGCAACTCAGAAACTTCCTCATTGAAGGCTTCCGAGGAGGGCAGGCAGCTGACCCGGTGTCTCCAGTGTCTCCAGGCCACGGGCACTGCCAACTACCTCCATCACCTCTGACCTACGTGGGCGACAAGGCCAGCCCTCCCCACCCCCATCACCTCTGACCCACGGGGGCGACAAGGCCAGCCCTCCCCACCCCCATCACCTCTGACCCACGTGGGCAACAAGGCCAGCCCTCCCCACCCCACAAGGAAACCAGATGCCCCCCTGCTCCCACCCTGTGGCCTGAGCTGTGTGGGGAAGGGACGGGCTGGCGTTCACCTGTCCTTGAGGTCTGATCGGGGGGCCCAGCAGCAGCAGGCACAGCAGGCAAGGCCCAGGAAGAGCAGCAGCAGAGGCACAAGGCTGCCCGCGATGAGGGCAGTGTCCCGACTGCCAGAGCCTGGGGGAGCCAGAAACGGGGGATATTCAGGCCTTCCTGTCTCCTACACATCCTGTCTTTGCTCTGAGTTGCCTGCTACCCAGAAGCTTCTTCCTGGGGGTCACTCCCTGCCTCCGGGCAGCCCCTCTGCTGGCGTGTCCCCTCCACAGGTTCTTGCCCCTGAGGCCATGTCAGTGTCCAGCCACCCCGCTGCCCATTTCACGGCTCTAGCCTGGTTTCGCAGGGGCGGGGGCTCTGTCACATCTTCAGGGGGCCCCAGAGCATCCACACAGAGCTCAGGTATAAAGAATGTCTCTGGGCCGGGCACAGTGGCTCACGTCTGTAATCCCAGCACTTTGGGAGGCCGAGGTGGGCAGATCACCTGAGGTCAGGAGCTTGAGACCAGCCTGGCCAACATGGTGAAACCCTGTCTCTACTAAAATATAAAAATTAGCCAGGCATGGAGGCGTGCGCCTGTAATCCCAGCTACTCGAGAGGCTGAGATGGGAGAATGGCTTGAACCTGGGAGGTGGAGGTTGCAGTGAGCTGACATCACACCACTGCACTCTGGCCTGGGTGACAGAGCAAGACCTCGTCTTAAGGGAAAAAAAAAAAAAAAAAAGAATATCTCTGAAGTGGGCCCAGACTCCCTGGTGAGGAACTTGCCCTGGAGCCCATGTGAAGGGCCCGCCTTTCCCTGGCTACTGCACCCCGCAGCCTTCTTCCACCTTACCTGGCTGGCAGGACCCAGAGACAGGGTGGCAGAGTCCCTCTGGGCATTCACAAGGAACTGAGCAGTTGTTTCCATGGAAACCGGCTGGGCAGGAGGCGTTGCAGCTATGGAGTGACATGGAGAGGCAGGCTGAGGGCTGGGTGAAGTGGGGGAGGCAGGCAGGAGACGGGCAGGGAGATTTCTGGGCACTGTCCAGGGAAGTTCAGGAAATGCTGCACAGAGCCCTGACCTAGGCCCCTGGCACTCTCCCGCCCCCGGGATCCCCATCCTTACCTGGGCCCCCAGTAGCCGGCACTGCAGACACAGTCCCCTGTCACAGTATCACAGGACCCCTGAACACAGGTGGGGCAGGTAGAGCCACAGTCTTCCCCAAAGGTACCAGTGGGGCAGGGGTCTTCACACCTGGGGTGAGGCAAGACTCGGGGAAGGGGAGACCAAGGCAGGCCTGGCCCCCACTGTGGGGCCCCACCCCTCCGCCCCACGCTCCTGGACTCAAGGACCCAACTGGCCACTCCTCAGCAGTGAAGCTCAGGTGCAAATAGGGCCTTGAACTTGGGGCCAAATCCAGCAGGTGACAGACTACAAGTCCCCAGAGGGCGAGGAGGGCAGGAAGCCTCAGAGGGGAGGGAGCTGGGATCCTGCCCAGGCCCCCCCAGAACCCACTGCTCTCCCCCAGTCTTCAACAGGAGGGAGGCCCCTGGGGCCGCATGAACCTGTGTGTCGGGGAGGGTGGTGCTCTCGGAGAGAGCCGCTGAGCTGAGGGTCCTGGGGGAAGGTGTACCCCACCCTGAACAGAATGGTGCCCTCACCTGGGCCCCAGCCAGCCAGGGTCACAGCGCTGACAGTGGCCAGTATCTGGCTCACAGGCCTCCCCATGTCGGCAGTGAGGGCACTGCTGTTCGCAGCTCTCGCCAAAGGTGCCAGGCAGGCAGGGCTGCTGGCACTGGGTCCCGTTCCAGCCCGGCTCGCAGGACTCACAGCTGCCTGTGTCTGGAGAGCACGGCTCATTGTGTTTGCAGCGGCCACAGCTGGGAAGAGAAGGGCTTCGTGGGAACAGTGGGGGTGGATGGATGGAGCGCCCACCCCCTCCTACCCCTGTACTCCACGCAGGCCTTCGGGGGCCCTGGAGAGTGTTCGGGTCCCACCTGGGTCAGGCAGGTTTGAGCCTCAGTTTCCCCACGTTGTACAATGAGGACAAATGAGGGCTCTTACAGGATCCCATCCCTTTCCTTCCAGGCATCTGCTCTGTGACCGTCTTTCCCTGGGTCCCAGGACCATCAGGAGCCAGCAGCCCAGCCAGGGCAGGCGAGTCACCACCAAGCTCTGAGTCCCATTTGCGAGGTCTGCCAGGCCTTCCCTCCTGCTCTTTTCACTTTTCCTTTTTCCACACTGAGCCGTCCCCAGGTCTGGCATGAATGGGACTCAGTAGTGTCTTCTACCCCATCACACGAAATGCAAAAAATGTAAAGTGTTTTCACCCAGGGGTCCTCAAACCCTGGGCCATGGACTGGTACTAGTCCGTGGCATGTTAGGAACTGGGCGACAGCGTAGAGATGACCAGCAGGGGAGCCTGACCGCCTGAGCTCCGCTGCCAGCCAGATCAGTGGTGGCCTCAGATTCTCATAGGAGCGCCAGTCCTATTGTGAACTGCGCACGGGAGGGTCCAGGTTCCATGCTCTTTACGAGGATCTAATGCCTGATGATCTGTCACTGTCTCCCATCACCCCCAGATGGGACCCTCGAGCTGCGGGAAAGCAAGCTCAGGGCTCCCACTGATTCTATATTATGGTGAGTCATATTATTATTTCATTATAGATTACAGTGTAATAATAGAAAAATTGTCTGCCATGAAACCAGTCCCTGGTGCCAAAAGGTTGGAGACCACTGTTGTCACCAATATAATTTCACATTTGCCATATCTTAATTTCCCATTGATGCCTAATAGTTACCTGAAGTTTCTCCCTCAGATGCTTAACTAGCTGGGATCATATACTTGGGTCAGACCCATTAGTAGGGGAGAAGAAGGGCAGTTTATAAAAGCCATTTAGCTGATCCTGACCAGCATTTTTATTTCTTATTTTATTTTATTATTATTTTCTTCAAGACTGAGTCTCACTCTGTCGCCCAGGCTGGCGTGCAGTGGCGCGATCTTGGCTCACTGCAACCTCCGCCTCCCGGGTTCAAGTGATTCTCCTGCCTCAGCCTCCCAAGTAGCTGGGATTACAGGCGCCCAACACCATGCCCGGCTAATTT
Source organism: Homo sapiens (assembly GCF_000001405.40). Classification (NCBI taxonomy): domain Eukaryota; kingdom Metazoa; phylum Chordata; class Mammalia; order Primates; family Hominidae; genus Homo; species Homo sapiens. Next base: position 71,920 of record NT_187611.1, read on the forward strand.
TTGTATTTTTAGTAGAGACGAGGTTTCACCATGTTAGCCAGGCTGGTCTCGAACTCCTGACCTCAGGTGATCCGCCCGCCTCGGCCTCTCAAAGTGCTGGGATTACAGGCGTGAGCCACCGCGCCCAGCCAGGGATGAAATTTCTTACTGTGAGTGCAGCCAGTCAAAGTTTGAAAGCCACTGAGCCCTAAAGGGACCTTGCTCAGGACCCTTGGTCACTCGATCCACTTATTTATTATTTTTTTTGTAAGAAACCATTTTTTTAATTTTCTTTTTTTAAATATATTTATATATATTTTTTTATTATTATACTTTAAGTTTTAGGGTACATGTGCACATTGTGCAGGTTAGTTACATACGTATACATGTGCCATGTTGGTGTGCTGCACCCACTAGCTCGTCATCTAGCATTAAGTATATCTGCCAATGCTATCCCTCCCCCCTCCCCCCACCCCACAACAGTCCCCAGAGTGTGATATTCCCCTTCCTGTGTCCATGTGATTCCATTGTTCAACTCCCACCTATGAGTGAGAATATGCGGTGTTTGGTTTTTTGTTCTCGCGATAGTTTACTGAGAATGATGATTTCCAATTTCTTCCATGTCCCTACAAAGGACATGAACTCATCATTTTTTATGGCTGCATAGTATTCCATGGTGTATATGTGCCACATTTTCTTAACCCAGTCTATCATTGTTGGACTCGATCCACTTATTACCTACATATGGCTTGCTAGCAGTGCTAGTATATTTTGCACAGCAGTAATCAATGAAATGAGCAGGTGAGGCTGGACCTGGGGCAACAAAGCGTTTTTAAAAGTTTTTGTTTTGTTTTGTTTGAGACGGAGTCTTGCTCTCTGGCCCAGGCTGGAGTGCAGTGGTGCGACCTCGGCTCACTGCAACCTCCGCCTCCAGGGCTCAAGCGATTCTCCTGTCTCAGCCTACCGAATACCTGGGACTACAGGCGCAGCCCGGCTAATTTTTGTGTTTTTAGTAGAGACGAGGTTTCAGCATGTTGGCCAGGATGGTCTCGAACTCCTGACCTCAGGTGATGCACCCGCCTCAGCCTCCCAAAGTGCTGGGATTACAGGTGTGAGCCACCCCACCTATCCGACTTTTCCCCTTTCTCGTTCCTCTGCTTTGTATGTTTTTTGAGAGGAGCACCGCGAAGCCCTGACCCCTCCTCCCGGCGCCCCGCCGCGGCCACCTGTCTCCGCTCCGCCCCGCCCGCTCACAGGTCTCCGCGCAGCCTCGCTCACCTGTGTCCGCCTCCGCCCCCTCCCCCGACCGCTCACCTGTGCCCGCCCCGCCCCCACCCTGCCCGCTCACCAGTTTCCACCCCGCCCCCTCCCCGCCCACCGGTGTCCGCCCCGCCCACCGGTGCCCGCCCCGCCCACCGGTGTCCGCCCCGCCCACCGGTGTCCGCCCCGCCCACCTGTCTTCGCCCCGCCCCCTGTCTCCGCCCCGCCCCCCTGTCTCCGCCCCGCCCCGCCTGCTCACTTGTGTCCGCCCCCGCCCCGCCAGCCCACCTGTCCCCGCCCCGCCCGCTCACCTGTGTGCGCACTGCACCCCGTGGCTGCCTGCCGGGCAGGGCAGCTCGCAGCGCGCTCCGCGGAAGCCGGGCGGGCAGGTGCACTCGCCGGAGGCGGCGCTGCAGCGGCCCCGCACACACTCGCACTGCTGCTGGCATTCGGGACCCCACCAGCCCGGCCGGCAGGCGCAGCGGCCGGAGTCCTGCTCGCACGGGGAGCCGTGGCAGTTGCAGCGGAAGCTGCAGCGGCGCCCCCACCAGCCCGGCTTGCACACGCAGGCGCCCGTGGCCTGCTCGCAGCGCGCCGCCGCGGTGTTGCACTGGCACGGGCGGCGGCACGTGGACGACCACCAGCCGGGTTCGCAGTGGCACACGCCGGTCGCGGGGTCGCAGCGCCCGTGGGGGCCGCAGGCGCACGGGAACTCGCAGCGGGCTCCCCAGCGGTCGGCCTGGCACTGGCACGCGCCCGTGGCTGGCTCGCACTGGCCGTGCGGGTGGCAGGGGCAGCTCTCACGGCAGTCGGGGCCCCAGTACTGGCCCGGGCAGCCTGCGGGGGTGGGGACGGGAGGGGTCAGCGGGCTCAGGGCCGCGCGCAGACCCTTACCCTGCGTCCCCTTCCTCAAGGAAAAGGGGCGCTGGGCCCATCCTCCAAGAGCCGGGGACAGACCCTCAGAACATCCGGCAGCCTGTCCTGGGCAACACTCACTTCCTGCTCCGCTCTGACCTACAGAAAACCCTTAGCCATTAGTGGGAGGCTCAGCCTGCCACTTCACATTCCAGAACACACTCAGAGATCCTGAGTGGGCAGGGGACTTGCCCAGAGCGTGGCACCGAGGTTGGTGGGCCTTCCTCCATGCCTGCTCCTCCCTGCCGAGATGGATCTCTGCTGGGCTGGAGGAGAGCTGGCTTTCTCCTGATCTCAGGCCTGGATACTGCCCGCCAGGGTGTCGGGAGAAGCCACCTTTCCCCTAGTGATTCCTTGATTCCTGATGCCCACCCTCTGGCTCTCCTGCTTCCCAACCCCTTTCCCTTCCCTCTCTTTCTGCCAGAGAGGGCAGAGAGCCCAGCCAGGGGCCCCCTTCCATCCACTGCCCATGTATAAGGTATATGTGGGAAAGGCAAGTAATACACTCATTTTACAATGAAGGGGAATCACAGGTTTTCTGAGAAGTGGAAGAGGAAGATGCTCAGGTGGGCAGTGCTTTGTGGATGTGGGTAAAAACCCGGTGACTCAGGTCATCTCCCGGGAGTGTGTGTCACTTCCTGTCTCTGGACCGCAATTCCTCAGTGAAGCTGGGGGGGATTCTGGCCCTGCTGTCCTGAGGCTGCATGGCTACCTGCCTCGCCTGCTCCCACACCACTGCCCCCGTACCCAGCTCTGCCCAGCAACTTCATCTGGCCCTTGAGACTCACGGGAGCTGCAGTGGGCCCCAAAGAATCCAGGCTTGCATCGACAGAGGCCCGGCTTCACACACACCTCGTCTTTCTGGCAGGCGTCCGGCCCCTCACAGATGGCTGAAAGACACCCCACCCAGGTTGGAAAGACGGGAGCAGGACCAGGGGACACCCCTGCCCTCTCACTGGCTCCAGGGGCCATGCCTCCTCAAGAGGTGCCCCTTCAGGCCTGGGGGTGCGTCACAGGAGAAACCCTGACTCCTGGTATCAGGAGGGGCAGGCCCCATGGGGTAGGAAGGAAGGGTTGTCACTGGGCTACGGCCTCCCTTCTCCTTGGCTGAGGGTCTGTCCTGGCTACTCACGGATGGTGCATTCTTGATCCTTCTGCCTCCAGCCTGCGCAGCACTGCAGCTCAGCAGAGGGGCTGTGGGGCAAAAAGGGGTCAGCCGGACATGGTGGGGGGTGCAGCCTGGCCCTGAGGAAGGTGGATCACTGTCTCTGGCTGCAGTGGGGGAGGCTGCCTTAGCCCCCTGGGGAGGCCTAATGGATCTTTACAGCTAGGGTCCCCAGCCCCTCCCCTCTCCTTCCCTGACCCTTCCACCATCTGCCCTGGCTGGCCACTACCTGCCAGACCGCCATCAGCAGTCCCTTCCTTTCAGCCTAAGCCCCCTTCCTAGTCTCCTCCTTCCCCTAACGGCCTCAACACCGGTTCAGCCACCCGCATCAGACTCCCACGAGACCCACCTGCTGGCCACACGCATCAGACTCCCACGAGACCCACCTGCTGGCCACACAGACGTGCTGCCCTTTGGGGTCCAGCTCGGACCCCTGAGTCCCCCGAGTCCAGAGCAGCAGCAGCGGGAGCAGCAGCCCCAGCCCCATGGCAGGCAGCTCGGTGGGAGCGCTCGGGTTCGTCTGGCCCCCACAGCTCCCAACCCCCTCCCTGCTTCCTCTCAGGGCTTTTCCTGAGGAAACCAGGCCGGAGGGGCGGGCTGCCACGAGGCACCTCCCTGAGAGGGAGGGGGTGGCTGGAAAGACTGACACTCAAAAAAAGAAAGGGAAAGAAAGGCAATGGCAGGGCTGACTGGCCTGGGCCTGGAAGGGCCAGAAGAATGAAGTTGCAGGTCCCTGGGTGCCGGGGCCAGGGAAGGGGGTGGACTGAGGCTGGGAGCCACGGCTTTCCATCAGGCCACACTCCCAAAGCAAGGCCTGAGCTGCAAGAAGCCACCCCACCCAGTGACTGAGCAAGGAGACCAGCGAGGACCCCTCAGCCTGCCTCTGCTCCTGGCAGGGTTGGGAGGTGGCACAGACATGGACAGACAGGCGAGGAACAGTTTCTGTGTATTACGGGCAGTTCTTTATTACATGAGCTCAGGCCGTCTGCACAAAGCCCTGGGAGCTAGGCAGTCAGCTCTCATTTCATGGATGGGGAAACTGAGACTCAGAGAGGCACTCTTATATCTGGCCCCAGAGGCTCGGTACAGAGACGTAGAGAGGGAGGCGGGCTGAGACCCCGTCCTGCCCTGATGCAGGCCAGGATTGGGGCAGACCCCTGGCGAGGGCTGTGAAGGCGGGAGCCCTGTCCTCATTTGAGGCCACACATCCTTCCACAGCCAGACCCCTAAGTCAGGCCTCTGGGGCGGCTGAGGCCCCCAGACAAAGGTGTTCGTGGAGGGCAGAACAGGGCGGATCAGGAGCTGGAGACTGTGGTTGGGCCTCCTCTTCTCCCCCTAGCTTGCTGGGTGCAGGGCTGCTGGTCTCATCCTCAGAGGATTCAGCTTTACCCCGATACCATAGGCCAAAGCTGGAGAGAGACAGCCAGAGGCACTTTGAGCCAGGAAGCCAGAGAGGTCAAGGATATGGGTGAGGGCAGGGGATGGTGAGAAAAGGGGAGAGGGGGAAGAAAGGGCAGCCTGAGGGAGTGTGAAGGTGATGGGGGCCAGGGCCAGAGAAGCAGGAGGGGACGGTGTGCTTAGAGCCAAGCACAGCAGGGTGACGGGCAGAGAAGCGGGAAAGGGGATCCTGAGAAGGACCAGCCAGGGCCCTTCCTCCCTCCCCACACTCTTGCCTTTCCCCTTTCCCCAACATACAAACTCTGTATTTTGGACTCCGGGGGTGGGGGATGGTCTCCCTTGTCATCGGAGAGCAGGATCCATGGGCCAGCCTCATCCTCACTGAGACAGAGGAGAGAGGAGAAGTGAGGGCCATTGATCAAGGCCCTGAGGGACAACAGGAATCCAGCAGGGGGGATGGAGGGACTGCAGGGCCCCCGGGGCTGGAGAGAAGGCAACCCTGGGGAGATGCAGGATGTCGAGCCTTTAATTTTTAATTTTTTTTTTTTTGAGACAGGGTCTCACTCTGTCGCCCAGGCTGGAGTGCAGTGGTGCGATCTCAGCTCACTGCAACCTCCGCCTCCCAAGTTCAAGCGATTCTCCTGCCGCAGCCTCCTGAGTAGCTGGGATTATAGGCACATGCCACCATGCCCGGCTAATTTTTGTATTTTTAGTAGAGACGGAGTTTCACCATGTTGGCCACGCTGGTCTCGAACTCCTGACCTCAGGTGATCTACCCACCTTAGCCTCTCAAAGTGCTGGGATTACAGGCGTGAGCCACCGCGCCCTGCCAAGGGTTTATTTTATAGCTTGACACACAGCAGGCCCTGACACAGCCGCGGCTACAGTTTCACCCCCGTAAGAATAAACAGACCCAGCCAAGACAGGAACTTGAAGAATGAATGTGGAGAGGCAGTGTTGTCAGGCAGAATGGATGGCAGGCAAGGCAAGGGGAGTGGTGAGATCCAGGGAGAAGGGCGCAGGCTGGACAGCGGCCATGGGACACAGCCAGAGCAGGTCAGCAGGCCCTAGAAGCGGCCAGGCTAGGGAGGCTCAAGGGGTGACCGGGTTGGGGTGACAGCCTCAGTCTGAGACAATGGGCTCAGAGGGTGACCAGGCTGGGTCATCAGGCTCAGCAGAATGAGGGAGGGAGGCCTGGCTCCGTGGGAATGCAGGCAGGGACCTACCTGCTCTCTGCTTCCTCTGGTGTCCCTAACATCTTGGCCTTGATCTTCTTCCGCTGCTTCCGGACAGCCACCTTCATGGCCTCGAGCAGAAGGCCGGGGACCCGGTGGTCTGTGAGCAGCTCCCTAAAGAAAAGGGGCAGGGAGGGAGAAAGCCCTGGTGATGCCAGCCATGGGGATGCCAGCAGTGGAGATGCCAGCCGCAGTCCTCACTCCTGGTACCTGTGCACGCAGCTCTTCCCTGAACACGGGAAGCGCTCTGCCTTGCTGACACCCTCAGACCTTAAATTAGGTGGCCCCGTGGCCCCCTCCTAGGAGAGATTCCCTGGCTGCTGCAGCTGCAACCCTTTGTACTGTCCCTCTCCCCTGTCTGGATGACATTGCAGGAGGGCAAGGGCTGTACAATTCATGTCCTCCCAGTTCCCAGCGCAGGCCTGGCACATGTCACTGTGGACATGTCAATGACTGGAGAATGAGGTGGGGTGATCGGAGGCCCCCCGGCTTCCCAGCGTCCTCACCGCTGGAAGTAGGCCAGTTCCTCCTTGAGCAGGAACACTTTGGCTTTGAGTTCATTCCGCTCCTGAAGGATCTGCTCAAACTCCTCCCGACTGAAGCGGCACTGCCCTGCCTCCGAGGGGCGCCCGAGCTGCTGCGCGGCCTCCGCCTTTGGAAGGACAGGCACAGTCAGAGGGTCGCCTCGGCTGGCGTTCCCCCGCCCCAGGGCCATCATGGGAATGCTAGAGGAAGTGACGGGCCGGGAGACTTGGGGGACAAGGGTGCCCTAACAGATAACAGAGCAGTGCTCCAGCTGAGAGCGGGGGCCGAGGCCGGCCGGGGGCGCAGATCTGTCTGCCACCTCCCCGCTTCCTGGCCGACCTGCTGTGCAGCATGCAAACCTTGCTTGAGTGCCCACCGAGGGCTGGACGCTGCGTCCTGGGCTGGGTCCTTGCCCTCATACGGCACTCACCGGGTCCTCAGGGTTCCCTGGGGCGCCTGCGCCGGCGGTCGCCCATTCGGGCTCCTGTCCGTGCTGGTGCCCGGGCCGCCCGGCCTGCCCCCGCGCTCGCTCTTTAGCCTGCGGAGTCGCGGCTTCGCCAGGCTGCTGGCGCTCCCTCTCGCGGTCCTGCGCGGCGCGCAGCTGGGTCTGCATGGCCGCCAGCTTGTGCCGCAGCTCAGCGTTCACCAGCAGGAGGCGCTGCAGCTGCTCCTGCAACTGGGAGCGGAGCAAAGGGTGGGGTGGGCGGGGCACCGAGGGCCCCCCGGAGCCCCGCCCAGCGCCTGCCTCGCTCCGCCCCCGCCCCCGGAGCCCCGCCCAGCGCCTGCCACGCTCCGCCCCCGCCCCGCCCCAGAGCCCCGCCCCGCCCTCACCGCCTCGGTCTCCTGGCCGCGCTGCCGCAGGTCGCGGTTGTGCGCCCGGAGTTCGTCCCGCTGTCGGTCCGTGACCTCCTTGAGCTGCCGCAGCAGCGCGCGCTCCTCTGAGGAAGGGGCGTTCTTAGCGGCGGCGGCGCGCGGCCCGCGGGAGGGAGGGGAGGACCCGAGCAGGTCGTCACCCGCCCTGCCCTGGCCGGGGCTGCGCTTACCCTGTGGCCCCGCGCGCAGCTCCCTGCGGAGGCGCTCGTTCTCCTCCCGCAGCCGCCGCAGCTCCTGCTCCGCCGGCTGCGCCGACACCTGCAGCTGGGGAGACCCGGGTCTCAGGCTTCGGCCCTGCCGGCCCCGTGGGTGGCGAAGGGAGGGCCATGACTCACCGAGTCCGGGGCGGGCCCCACGGCAGCCTGTTCCAAGAGCTCCAGCGCCCGCACCACTAGCGGCACCAGCCCGGCCGCCGCCTCCGGCCCGAAACGGCGCGCCAGATCCTGCAGCTCAGTGCCCAGGGCCCCGGCTAGATGGTACACAAGCTCCGCGGCCGATGCCGACCCCGCGGCCTCCCGAGACCCCCAGCCAGGCACCCCGGGCGCCGCCCTCCTGGGCTCCATGTCTCCCAGAGGCTTAGGGCTGCGACCCCCCCACCCCACCCTCCACTGGGACGGGGAAAAGCGAAACAGTTCCGCCCCAGGAAGCCGTTTAGGGCGGTGTGGGCGGGGTAGAAGCGATAAGGGTAGGGAGGAACGAGGAAGGGAGAAGGCGTGGGGTAGGGAGATAGTGCCCTAGGTCGCCTGGGCTCTGTCCTTTCCACCCCCAAGGTCACAGGAAACAAGACAGCCAACTTCCAGCCAGGCGTCCAAGAGCTGAGGTTCAGGGCTGCAAGTGGTCACTTGAGTGGAGCCCTCCCCACAGGCCCAATCCAGGCTCCGCCCGTTTGGAGTCATGGGGCCAACTTGGCAGTGGCCCGCTCCAGGCGAGAGGTGACAGGTAGGCAGCCGGTCTCTGGCCTCCGCCCGGCTGTACACAAACTGCCTGCCTGTGTGCTTGTTTTCCTGACCAGGACTGACACAGAAAGCTTAAAGGGCTGGGCTGGACACCGCAGCCGCTCAGCACAAGCCACAGAGTTCCTAGACCCGGGAAAGGGCAACTGCTCCCAAAACTGTGGAAAGGAGGCGAGAGCTTCCAAGTAGTTTTGTGGAAAAAGCAGCAAATGTGGTCAAGGCAGCGGAGTGTGAAAGCCCAGCCCTGCCTCAGGTCTCCACTGAGTCCAGGGGCTATCTACCCCAAAGCCCTGAATAGGAAGGGGGCCTCATACTCCCCCCTTCACAGCCGAGCCCAGCATCTTGCTGTGAACCGCTCCAGTCCAGCCTCCTGTTAGACCTAAATCCAGAATTTGAGTTTGGGGGGGAAAAAAAAAACAAACCAGCCCCTGAACTCCTATTTATACAAAATTTATTATTATATTTTATTCAGGATGACAAGCCATCAGGAGGTCAACAACACAAGCACAGACAGAGGGAAAGAGGCCAAACTGCTGAATGTCAGCGGCCTGTCTGGAGGGGCTGAGGCTTCGGCCTCGGGAGGCTGAAGCAGGAGGCAGGGAAACGGTCAGGCATACAGGTCCTCCCGATCCGCAGAGTAAACCTCCCCCTCCTGCAGGAGAGCAAAGTTGAGGAAGTGAGAGGGCCTGTGCACCTCGTGGTAGAACTCTTTGGGGTTCGCCAGCTGTAGCTCATATTTCATGTTGGGGTCATGCCGAACACCTTCGGGGAGAAGGAAACAGCCAATGTTAACAGGGCTCCTGCCTCATGCAGCCTGCGCCACCTCCAAGCCAGCCAGGCCCCAAGTGCAAAGGGCGATGGCCTCACCTTATCCCTACTGCTATCCCCACATCCCCAGGCTCCTCCCACTTACCCATGAAGTTGTAGTTCCACGAGGACTGGGCAGGGACCATGAAGAAGCCAAGGAAACGGTCCGACAGCAGCATCTGCACCCTCTCATAGTGTGAAGGCAGGTAGCCCTTGGGGTTGTTGCCCTTGTCTGTGTTCTGGCGGCCCCATTCGTAGCCACTGGGGGTCAGCTTGTAGGCCGTCAGTGTACAGGAGCCTGGCGTGAAGCTGGGGGAGGAACGAGGACAGAGTAACAGCTCAGGCCACTGTTCTGGGCCCTGGCCTGCAATCCCTGCCCCACCATACTTCCTCCCAAGGAGCCCAGGCCCACCTGCATGTGATGATAATGGTCTTCTCGCCATCCCAAGATGGGTTGTCAGCCATGATCTTGGCATGGGTGGTGACATCCTGGGGTGATAACTGCGGGGACTCATTGGGCTGAGTGTGGATCCAACCTAAGGGTTCCATCTCCTATAGGTAAAGAGGAGTACAGAGCTGAATCCCATCCACAGACAGGAATCGCACCAGCTTTTCCACACTCCCAGGCTCCATCACTCCCCATTACCTTGAGGTACTCATGCTGGGGCAGCTGGCCAGGCAGGTGCACGGTCTGGTGAGTGCCCCACTGCGGCACCATCACAATGCAGCGGATCTCCTTCACCTGGGGGTTATCTGGTGGGCTCACCCCATATAGGTATCCTGCAATCTGGAGACAAAGGGGTCAGGAACCAAAACTCTTCTTAGTACCAGGTCAGAGTTGGAGCTGCCAGCCCTCTGTTTCCTTCCTTCCCCCAAGAACGAGGACAGAGTTTCTTAAAACGTGATCAGAACCCCCTGTATCAGAATCAGCTGGGGTGCTTGTTCAAAATGTTAGACATGGACCTCATCGCGGACTTACCACATCAGAATCTCCTGAGTGGGGTCCAGGAATCTGCACTGCTCACAAGCTCCCCAGCTGATTATTAAGCATAGTATTCACAAGCAAATGAGCACACATGCAGCTCAGTGTATTTTCACAAGCTGAAAACATCTGGAAAACCAGCACTTGGTGCTATTTTAAGTTTTACATTATCACCAAGAAAGAAAGAGGATCTGTTTACTATAAACTCACCCACACAGGATATTAACAATCTTTTCAAATTTGCCAACCTGACAGCCACTAAATAGTGGGTTTGAGATGGAGTCTCACTCTGTCAGCAAGGCTGGAGTGCAGTGGTGTGATCTCAGCTCACTGCGACCTCCGCCTCCTGGGTTCAAGCAATTCTCCTGCCTCAGCTTCCTGAGTAGCTGGGACTACAGGCACATGCCACCATGCCCCGCTAATTTTCATATATTTAAGAGAGACGGGGTTTCGCCACGTTGGCCAAGCTGGTCTTGAACTCCTGACCTCAAGTGATTCACCCACCTTGGCCCAAAATGATGTTTTATAAACTATAATATCCCTGATACACTAGTAAAGTTATGCATCTTTTCTCTTTTTTGAAGCAGGGTATCACTCTGTCACCCAGGCTAGCAGGCAGTGACATGATCTCAGCTCACTACACTCACCACCCTCCAGGATCAGGTGATCCTCCCACCTCAGCCTCCTGAGTAGCTGAGATTACAGGTGTATGCCACCATGCCTGGCTAGTTTTTTTTTTTTTTTTTTGTAGAGACTCCATTTCGTCATGTTGCCCAGGCTGGTCTCGAACTCCTGGGCTCAAAAGATCTGCCCACCTCGGCCTCCCACAGTGCTGGGATTACAGTCATGAGCCACTGTGCCCAGCCTGGAGTGCAGTGGGGTCATCAAAGCTCACTGCTTGCGTTCAAGCAACCTCATCCTCCTGAGTAGCTGGGACTACAGCCACGTTTTTTTTGGTTTTGTTTTTTTAGACGGGGTCTTGCTCTGTTGCCCAGGCTGGAGTGCAGTGATGCAATCTTGGCTCACTGCAAGCTCCACCTCACCTCCCGGGTTCAAGCAATTCTCCTGTCTCAACCTCCCTAGTAGCTGCAACTACGGGCGCATGCCACCATGCCTGGCTAATTTTTTGTATTTTTAGTAGAGACAGGGTTTCACCATATTGGTCAGGCTGGTCTCAAACCCCTGACCTCAGGTGATCCACCCACCTAGGCCTCCCAAAGTGCTGGGATTATAGGCATTAGCCACTGTGCCCAGCCGAGTGTTGGGATTACAGGCATGAGCCAGCACGCACACCTGGTCAGGAATTTGTTTCTGACCATATCTGTTCTCTTCCAAATACTATCAGGCCAATACTACAATTACTACCTTCTCTCAGCTGCCACAGCTTTTGCTATCTCATGGGGCCAAAACCCACCTCGTTGTTTTGGCTATCCTTGTATAATTACTCATCCATGAATCTTGAAACCAGCATCTCAAGTTCCAGACAATCTCAGGTCTGAGTTTTAGGCACAAAATGAGTTGGGCACACACTGTGGCCTAGCTGAGTCCACTTACTCACTTGGGCCCGAAGGTCAGATATGCAGATGAACTTCTTAAGCACATTCTTGGGAAGGATGTAGGTGTAGCCAGTCTCCTTGATGTCGTCAGATGAAACATAGATGTGATTGGTCCTTAGGTGCAGGTTGGCAGCAGAGATGGCCCTAAAAACAGGCAGGGAGTGTCAGCATCGCTCAGCCCAGCACCTTAGGTAGTGCAGCCGGCCTTTCCATCCCCACCCTCTTGCCCGACAGTACCTGACCCTCCACTCAGTCTTGGATGAGAAAGTCTGGGTCTCATAGTTGCTGGTGGTGGAGGTGATGATCTCATCGCCATGCTTGTTGACAGTGCGAGTCTGTGTTGCCGTCAGCTGCGATTGTTCCTTGGTCTGCTTCTCGATCTCAGCGATCTGCTGCCGCTGCTGTGACGGTGCCGAGATCTCCATACCCAGGATGATGTCTCGAATTTCTGATTGTGTCAGTGATGCCACGTTCACACTGTGGGGATGGTGTGGGTTATATTACAAGGATCCCTTCCCCTTGGTCACTTCTGCCTCAATGGAAAGGGTGTAACTTGGTAGGACAGGACAGCCTATACTCACGCCCCAGACAATCCACAAGAGCTGCTTCTACAGGAAGTGTGAAACGGAGGTGCACTAACACTTCCAAGATTCGTCAGATCCAAGCGGGACAGCACACTGCGTGTGCACCTTCCCACTGTTTAGCATCCATAAACCCTACGCTTCCTTGACCAAAACAATGCTCTGGCATGGAACTGTTCTCAGAAATGGAAACCCCAGAAACCCTAGAATACTGGTTCTTAATCAGAGGTGGTATTGTCCGTCACCCTATGGATAATTTTGGTTGCCACGATGACAGGGAGGGAGACGAGGGGAGGAAGGTGTGTGTGTGTGTTGGCAGCAGTCTCGGATACTTAGGGTCTCGGATGTTCAAAATTCTTCCCATGTATGGACAGTAAAGAAATGCCCTGTTTGAAATGGCAACAGTGAGAAACAATGGCCAAGAGTCAGACTGAAGCCCTAAAACAGGGATGCTTCCCATACTATTCGAAGACACTGCTGTATCTCTCTTCCTCGAGACTCTGTAAGATAATTTCTTTCCTTGTTTTCAAGACAAGAGTCTCGCTCTGTTACCCAGGCTGGAGTACAGTGGCATCATCATGGCTCACTGCAGCCTCAAACCCCCGGGCTCAAGCAAGCCTCCTGCCTCAGCCTCCAAGAAGCTGGGACTACAAGCGTGTACCACCACACCTGTTTTAAATTTTTTTTTTTTGGTAGAGATGGCGTCAGTCTCTTGTTGATCAGGCTGGTTTCAACTCCTGGCTCATGCAATCCTCCCACCTTGGCCTCCCAAAGTGCTGGTATTACTAGCATGAGCACTCAAGCCTGGCTAAGACAAGATAATTTCTTGAGAAACGTCTTTTTTTTTTTTTTTTTTGGAGACAGTCTCACTCTTGTCGCCCAGGCTGGAGTGCAGTGGCATGATCTCGGCTCACTGCAACCTCTGCCCCCAGGTTCAAGCAATTCTCCTGCCTCAGCCTCCCGAGTAGCTGGGATTACAGGTAGGCGCCATCGCACCCGGCTAACTTTTGTATTTTTAGTAGAGACGGAGTTTCACCACGTTGGCCAGGATGGTTTCAAACTCCTGACCTCAAATGATCTACCCACCTTGGCCTCCCAAAGTGCTGGGATTACAGGCATGAGCCACCGCGCCTGGCCTTCTTGAGAAACTTCTAAGCCTAAGTGCTTCCAAAAAACCCCAGAAAACCGTATATAGACCTCCTGTCTGTGTCCCCACCAGCACTGCTCACTTGTTTTTCTTGCCGTAGTCAGCCAAGATCAGATCCTTGAGCTGCACCTCGACCTTGATCCATTCTTCGTCAGTCAGAGTGGGCCAGATGTGGTGTGGTTCTGTAATAGTAGTCTTGTCTGGCTTCAGGATCACTTTTGCCCGATCGTTGTTCACATGTAGGGCACGCAGAATCAGGATGAGACGGGAGAAGGCCTGGGAAAAGATTTGGAAGAGTGGGGTAGGTCAGCTGCTTGAGGCTCTCCCACTTTAATCCTAACCTTTCATGAAACCCAAGAATTTTTTTTTTTTCTTTTGAGACAGAGTCTTGCTCTGTCGCCCAGGCTGGAGTGCAGTGGCATGATCTCGGCTCACTGCAAGCTCCGCCTCCCAGGTTCATACCATTCTCCTGCCTCAGCCTCCCGAATAGCTGGGATGACAGGCACCTGCCACCACGCCCGGCTAATTTTTTGTATTTTTAGTAGAGATGGGGTTTCACTGTGTTAGCCAGGATGGTCTCAATCTCCTGACCTCGTGATCCGCCGCCTCGGCCTCCCAAAGTGCTGGGATTACAGGCGTGAGCCACTGCGCCCGGCCTTTTTTTTTTTTTTTTTAGACAGTCTTACTCTGTCGCCCAGGCTGGAGTGCAATGGTGCCATCTCGGCTCACTGCAACCTCTGCCTCCTGGGTTCCAGTGATTCTGGTGCCTCAGCCTCCCGAGTAGCTGGGACTACAGGTGCATCCCAGCACACTCGGCTAATTTTGTTGTATTTTTAGTAGAGATGGGGTCTCGTCATGTTGGCCAGCCTGATCTCAAACTCCTGACCTCAGGTGATTCACCCAACTCAGCCTCCCAAAGTGCTGGGATTACGGGCGTGAGCCACCACGCCCGGCCCCAAGAGTTGATTTTTAACTTTAAGGTCTTAAACTCTCATGAAAGTCAACAGAGTTCCCACCCAATCTATAGGCTAAAAATGTGAAAATGGCAAAAACCTGACACAGGATCTTCTCCTAACCCTAAACCCGCTCCTCCTCCAGCGATCTTCTCTTCCCGAGGTTCATACCGTGTAAGATGAAATAGTCTTGAGCCAGTCGTCATAGAGGTTGAAGAGAACCATCTGGGGCTCAGTGGCTTTAAGGATGAGATCCCCGAATTTTTCCACCTTGAGACACGCCTGGAAAGGGAGTTGGAGCTCCGATCCTTTGATGACAATATTGGGGAAGTCCAGTAAGTGCACCTAAGACAAGATCAAGTCCAAGATGAGAAACAGCCTGAAGGTCTCAAGGTCTCTTTTCTCCTACCCCACCCCACCCTCTTACCTCCAGTGGGTCCAGCATGCCCTTCCTGGTGACAATGATCTGCTTGGGCTGCTCCTCCACAGGCAGAGATCGGATCAGGGCGGCCACCTCCTCAGCTGTCTTCCACTTAGCCAACTTAAAAGCAAGAGAGAAGAAAATGGAAATTTAGTCTCTACCCTCCCAGATCAACTAGAACAGAATATCCTAGTTTTGAAATAATCCAACTACGTTTCTATTGAACACTGATGTTAAATGTTAGGCACTTAGAAGGTACAAAGAGTATCAAATGGCCGTGTCCAATGACCAGGCTGACAGCCCCTTTCAACAAGACAATACCACAAGCTGACACATGAGTATGTGCTAAACTATACACTGTTTTACAGAGTTCAGGAACAAAAGAAATTAAGGCTACTAGGATCAGAAAAAAGCTGCACAAAAAAACGTGTCTTAAGGAGGGACTGTGATTAACAGAGCAAAGAGGGGAGTTCATTCTAGAAAGAAAAATACAAGCAAAACACAGATTTGGAGATGAGCATCAGGGGTTTGGGCTACTAAGATCCTGGACTGAATGTAAGATGAAACATGCTATAAATGTAAAGGAAGAGAAACTGGCTGGACAGATACAGCCCAGCCAGATGTTGAACGTCTAGGAAGCTAAAGAAGAGTTAATTCAGCAAGAGTTGTGAGGTAGAGAAGAGATTTGGTCAAAGTGGATGTTTCAAGAATATGCGTTGCTGGGCCGGGCACGGTGGCTCAAGCCTGTAATCCCAGCACTTTGAGAGGCCAAGGCGGGCGGATCACGAGGTCAGGAGATTGAGACCATCCTGGCCAACATGGTGAAACCCCGTCTCTACTAAAAATACAAAAAATTTAGCCGGGCGTGGTGGCGGGCACCTGTAGTCCCAGCTACTCGGGAGGCTGAGGCAGGAGAATGGCGTGAACCTGGGAGGCGGAGCTTGCAGTGAGCTGAAATCAGGCCACTGCATTCCAGCCTGGGCAACAGAGCAAGACTCCGTCTCAAAAAAAAAAAAAAAAAAAGAGAATATGCATTGCTGGCCAGGAGCAGTGGCTCACACCTGTAATCCGAGCACTTTGGGAGGCAGAGGCAGAGGCAGGCAGATCACAAAGTCAGGAGATCGAGACCATCCTGGCTAACACGTTGAAACCCTGTCTCTACTAAAAAATACAAAAAAAATTAGCCAGGCGTGGTGGCGGGCGCCTGTAGTCCCAGCTACTCGGGAGGCTAAGGCAGGAGAATGGCGTGAACCCGGGAGGCGGAGCTTGCAGTGAACCGAGATTGAGCCACTGTGCTCCAGCCTGGGCCACACAGCGAGACTCCGGCTAAAAAAAAAAAAAAAAAAAAAGAGTATGCGTTGCCTTTGGAAAAATGATTTTTGATAGCCCTGTTCAAGGTTAGAAATTCAGGAAACAGACCAGCTGGAAGGGAACGAAGCACCTCATACACTCTTGGACCTCCCACAGAATACTTCCCAAGGTATTTTGGGGATAAGTTCAAATGAGATGTTCTCAGCCTTTCATCTAATAAACCAGTAAATATTACCAAGTCCACCCCAAGAATAAGAGGCAACATGGTTCTACAGCCTCTTCATCTTTAAACCTGCTCACCTGCCCCAAACGCTTCTGTCCCGCCCACACGGACGTGTGGATTATCTTGAGGAACAGCTGCCCTGTGCGTGGGTTGAAGATGAAGATGGCTCCGTTGATGGGCTTGGTTGTCAAGTTCCCTTCAAAGGTCTAGAGGAGGACGGCATTCGTTAGCATGGCCTACACAACACATCCCCATCCTGCCTTCTTCCCAGCATGTGTACACACTTAGCCCATTACTCTCCCACAGCCATGTACAGAGTCCCGCACCTATACACTGCTGCTAACACTCACCTTGTGAATAGTCACTCTGTAGACGTTGGTGTCATCCACAAACCAGATAATCTGGTTGGAGAAGAGCTCACCATAGTTCTGAGAAGACAAATAAGGCTCAGTGGGTTCAGATGAATAGAGCTGTAGCCCCTTGCGGATCCGTTCACGTAACACATACAGGGCAGGGTTTGCCTTCATGATCTTGGCCATGGCCTGTTGTATGAGAGGCTTGCTGCCTGGGAACCAGTTTCCATAGGCACTGTGAGGATAAAAGGGTCAAGAAAAGTTAAGACGAGAATGACAGCCCCAGAAACAAGACAAGCTGCCAACTCTACAGAGGAAGAAAGACTGTTCGCCAGGCTGACAACACTCTGCTCATGTGTACATACAGGCTGGAGAAGAGAATCAGTGACCCATAGGAGGAATGGGCCACTTCCTCTCACTTAGGTAAAGTAAAAAAGTATGACTACGTTAAAGTATGGAGCTAATGGAAAATACACGGATTATTTATTTATTTATTATTATTATTATTTTTCTTTGAGATGGAGTCTCACTCTGTCGCCCAGGCTGGAGTGCAGTGGCGCAATCTCGGTTCACTGCAAGCTCCGCCTCCCGGGTTCAAGTAATTCTCCCACCTCAACCTTCTGAGTAGCTGGGACTACAGGCGTGGACCACCACGCCCAGCTAATTTTTTGTATTTTGGTAGAGACAGGGTTTCACCATGTTGCCCAGACTGGTCTCAAACTCCTGAGCTCAGACAATCTGCCCACCGCGGCCTCCCAAAGTGCTGGGATTACAGGTGTGAGCCACTGCGCCTGGCCTGAAAATACATGGTCCTGAGCCTCAACTCACCTGTGCAAGTTATAGGCCAGGTCAATGGCGATGAGTACACCTGTGGGCGAAGGGTAGATACTCATGTTGTCGGTGGTGTAGTCCAGGAACTTGGCCCGGGCGTAGCGCTCAATGTCGTGGGAATCATAGTCCCCCCAGCGCAACTGGATGTCAATCCAGTATTTCTGGGTGGTGGTGCTGTCCATCACATCCCTGAGGATGAAGAGGGTTCAAGCTTCTAAGAAACCATGGGCATAACCAATGTCCCCAGAACCAGAACCACTTAAATCCCAAAACCATCCCACCCACTCCACCAACTTGTTCCAGGTCAGCAGGACCCCAGAGAATCAGCAGATCTGACTAAGGGTGTTGACAGGCTCCAAGCGTAGCACTGGCTCCAAGTTTGAAACAAAGGCAGACAGGACAATTCCTAAAGTTGCAGGGCTAGAAGAACAGGAAAACGAAAGTGTCCTGGCTGCCTAGGGCTGGGTCCTGAGGCACTTACTTGGAGTCAGCCAGCAATGAGGGCCGGGAGACATTCCACTTATAGGAGGCAAAGAGCAGGATATCTGCACAGGAAGAGTTCATCTTATATGACTTTCGGGGATGGATTGTCTCCTTTTGTACTGTCTCAATTTCCAGTGCATCAAGTTCCTGGTCAAACACCTGAAGGAAAACATGGAGAGATTAAGACTTGTTAAGGAAGCCCAATTAAAATCAGAGTTTGTACAATAAGATAATGAGGCAATAGGAGTCTCATCCTCAGAGCTTCCAGGGTGGATTTCCCATATGCAAAAGAGCAAGCTGAGCTGACTCTGTACAGCACGCTCTCCCCGCGATTCCACCTGAGCTGACTCTGTACAGCACCCTCTCCCCGCGATTCCACCTAAGCTGACTCTGTACAGCACCCTCTCCCTGCGATTCCACCTGAGCTGACTCTCTACAGTACCCTCTCCCCACGATTCCACCTGAGCTGACTCTGTACAGTACCCTCTCCCCTCGATTCCACCTGAGCTGACTCTGTACAGTACCCTCTCCCCTCAATTCCACCTGAGCTGACTCTCTACAGTACCCTCTCCCCTCGATTCCAGCCCACCTGACATAAGTCCATAACAATGCTCTCATGGATCTTCTGCCACAAGTGAGCTCGGAAGATCTGGATGAGAGAGATCTTCAGCGTGGGGATCTTGCCGTGCATGAAGATACCCGTCAGGTCTAGCTGCACCTGAAAGCCTACATATACCTGCCAGGAAAACGACAATGTGACATTAGAGATCAAGAGACTCGGGCGCTCACGACATAACCAAGGCAAGAAGCAGCAACTGTCTTTAGCTTCCCCTCTCCAGTGTCAATCACACTCACATTGGCTCGATTAATGGTCGGGGACCACCAGAGGGTGAATCTACGATTGGGAATCTGGTTCAGTCCTGATCGCTGAGCATTAGTTAGCTTCTTCCACTTCATAGATTCCTCAAAGCCACTGGCCTTCTCCCTGGGGAGCAAGAGAAGCAGGTGAGGTGATATCCTGCCATTTCCCAGCACACTGCTAACCTCCTGGAGGTGGCTGTCTGGGAAACACCACAGGAAATCACAGAGGCATACAAGAGATGAGCTCAAAGGGTTGTGACAGGTCCCTCTAAGAGAGGAGAATCCTCACCAGAAAAGCCCCTCCCAGGTAGGGAAGTAAGTGCCCTTAAAGAGTGTGTGTTCCAGAATGCCTTCCACACCGCCCAGGGCCTGGATCATGTCTGTACGGTAGTTGTTCAGGTTCCAGAGCTTCCCATCATGCCGCTGGTGTGTCCACCAGAACGGATTCTGCTTCAAAACCTAGATGGCAAGGCAGGCACGGTCAAGCTTCTGGGTGCCTATTGCCCCAAGTTTCGGGGATAGCCATGGATTTTCCTGACTCAGGGAAAATCTGCTCCCTCTACATACCTGATACTGCTTAAAGTCAGTTCTGACACGCCAGCCCTTATCATAAGCCAGTGTGTGCCGGTCCTTCTGGAAGAGGGTATTGATTCGAGGAATGCCACGATCCCATGAATCTTCTAGGTCTTCTAAAGTCAGGCGTCTTCCAAAAAAAGAAAGATTCAAGTCAAAACGTGATCTCATATGAGGAGCTCAGCACTCCTTCCTGGCCAAAAATAATTAGGGTCAGTAGAACCAGCCTTCTCACCTCCATACAACCATGGCATGCTCTGACCCTGAACTCCACACGGTTCAAAGGCCACCACTGCCCCTGCCCCAGGGTTGGCATGCCCTCCTAGGTGCCCACCTGTTCTGAGCAATGGCCTCTTGCCTCTTGAGTGCGTACTCAGCCCAGACCCGCTGAGAATCAATGAACTCGCTCTCCCATGGCTGTATGTAGCGGTACAAGTTGGGAATGAGCTGGTCTTCTTCATGGCTCATTCCTGAACGAAAGTGTGTGATACCTACATCTGTCTGTTTGGACCACCTGTTTGGGTGTACAACCAAGATTACAGAAAAAATAAAGCCTAAAACTAAAGAAATACCCACTTCCCTTAGGGCCTGAGCAATAGGGTTTAGAAATACGTTGAACCAGGCTGTACCTGAGGTCGGATTGGGGGATGAGCACATGGCCCATTGAGAGCATGCCGAGTCCACCCAACTCCTTAGGGGTGTAGAACACAACCGGGGGGAACCGACTTGGCATCTTGGAGTTGAGTCCAATCTTGATACGTGTCTGGATTTTGTTCTCACACTTCACCAGTAAGTCCAAGAGCTCTTGGGTGTTCACCACAGCCTCCCGAAAGTATGTCATAAGGCCAATGAGAGCTGTATTCCACTTATTCACAATCTAAAGGTAGTAGAAAAAAAAGTAAATTACAGATGAGCCAGGGGCGGGGAGGGTGGAGACTACTTGATGCAGTTAGTTTTATCCCTACTACTAAAGAAAGATTTGAGTTCAACATCATTAGTCACTAGGGAAATAGAAAGCAAAACACAATGAGGCTGGGCGCGATGGCTCATGCCTATAATCCCAGCACTTTGGGAGGCCAAGGTGGGAGGACTGCTTGAGCCCGGGAGTTGGAGACCAGCCTGGCCAACATGGCAAAACCCTGTTTCTACTAAAAATACAAGAATTAGCCGGGTGTGGTGGCAGACGCCTGTAATCCCAGCTACTCAGAAGGCTGAGGCAAGAGAATCGCTTGAACCTGGGAGGTGGAGGTTGCAGTGAGCTGAGATTGTGCCACTGCATTCCAGCCTGGGCAACACAGCGAGACTCCATCTCAGGGGAAAAAAAAAAAAAAATGGTTCCCCTGGGCCAGGTGTGGTGGCTCACGCCTGTCATGCCAGCACTTTGGGAGGCCGAGGTGGGTGGATCACCTGAGGTCAGGAGTTCAAGACCAGCCTGGCCAACATGAAACCGTCTCTACTAAAAATACAGAAATTGAACCCAGGAGGCAGAGGTTGCAGTGAGCTGAGATCGCACCACTGCACTCCAGCCTGGGAGACAGAGCAAGACTGTGTCTCAAAAAAAAAAAAAAGAAAAGAAAAAGAAAAAAAAAAGCACACCAGATGGAGCTATACAAACTAGTGAAGAACACCAGAAATGGTAAGTATGTGGGTAAAATGCAAAAAAATATTTTTTCTCATTTTGCAATTTCTACAAAAGATAAAGGCTGTTCAAAGCAAAAAGAGTAACAAAGTATTATAGCACTTATAATACATGTACAATTAAAATGTTATGACAAAAATACTACTAAGAGTGGGAGTGGAACTTAAAGTGTATTATTCTAAGGTTCTTGTACTATATGTGAAGTGATCCGTAGTAGACTAATGGTCAAAGTAGATCACAGTAAGTGAGCTATGTATATACTGTAAACCTTAGAGCAAACAATAAGAAAAAAACCATGTAGCCAAATAAGTGAAAAGTGGAGATAAAGTCACAAAACAACTAAATTCAGAAGAAGGCAGGACAAGAGAAAAGCAGAAAAAATAATTTAAAAAAAAAAGAGTAAGACGGTAGATTTAAACTGAGCTACATTGCCACATTGATAGTTACATTAACCTTAATTGAGGTATTTAGACCATTTGTAAGGCAAACATTGTCAAATTGGATTTAAATAAAAAGGCCGGGCATGGTGGCTCACACCTGTAATCCCAGCACTCTGGGAGGCTGAGGCGGGCCTCGGGGTCAGGAGTTCGAAACCAGCCTGGACAGCATGGTGAGACCCCCCGTCTCTACTAAAAATACAAAAATTAGCTGAGCGTGGTGGCACGCGCCTGTAGTCTCAGTTTCTTGGGAGGCTGAGGTAGAAGAATCGCTTGAACTCGGGAGGCAGAGGTTGCACTGAGCCAAGATCATGCCACTGCACTCCAGCCTGGGCAACCAAGGAAGAGACTCCATCTCAAAAAAAAAAAAAAAAAAAAAAAAAAAAAGAGCCAACTATATGCTGTCTATAGGAAATAAACTTTAGTTACAAAGACACAGATTAACAGTAAAAAGATGGAAAAATACACCCATGCAAACACAAAACAAAGCTGGAGTGGCACTACTGATTAAGACAAAGACTTCAGACCATGGAATGTTATCAGGAATACAGAGGGATATTTGATACGATAAAGTAGTCAACTCGTTCAGAAGACCTAATAATCCTAAATACATTATGTAACTAATAACAGAATTTCAAAAATGATGGACCTGAAAGACAATAAACTCACAGCTGTAGTTGGATCTTTCTCTCAAGCAAGACAGGGTCTTGCTCTGTTGCCCAGGCTAGAGTGCAATGGCACCATCTCCACTCATTGCAGCCTCCACCTCCCAGGCTCAGGAGACTCTCCCGCCTCAGCCTCCCAAGCACCTGGGACTACAGGCGTGTACCACCACACCCAGCTAATTTTTGTATTTTTTTTGTAGAAATGGGGTTTCGCTATGTTGCCCAGGCTGGTCTCGAACTCCTGTGCTCAAGCAATCCACCAGCCTCAGCCTCCCAAACTGCTGGGATTACTAGAGATTTCTAATACTCCTCAGTAATCGATAGAAGTATACAAAAAATATCACTAAGGATATAGAAGACTTAAGCAATGTAACCAACTGACTGGACCTAATGTTTGTAAAACACTCAACCTAACAATAGCAGAATACAGATTAACAGATATTTTCCAGCACACATAGGACAGGCACCAAGAGAGACTGTACGCTAGGACATCAAAAAGTCAGCCTCAGCCAGGTGCAGTAGCTCATGCCCGTAATCCCAACTCTTTGGAAGGCTGAGGCAGGAGGATCGCTTGCGCCCAGGAGTTTGGGTCCAACCTAGGCAAGAGTGAGATCCCACCTCTAAATGAATTAATTATTAAAAAAAAAATCTTGATACATTTTTTAAAACTAAGATCATATACAACATGTTTCCTAATCATAATGGAATCAAAGCAGAAACTAATAAGGGAAACCCCCAAATATGTAAACAGCATAATTTGAAACAACCTAAGGTGAAATATGAACTCATAAGGGAAATTAGAATATACTTTTAACTAAATAAAAATGAAAACACAACATATTAAAATGTGAGGAATGGGGCCGGGCACGATGGCTCATATCTGTAAGCCCAGCACTTTGGGAAGCCAAGGCGGGTGAATCACGAGGTCACGAGTTCAAGACCAGCCTGGCCAACATGGTAAAAACCTGTCTCTACTAAAAATACAAAAAAAAATTAGCTGGGTGTGGTGGCGGGCACCTGTAATCCCAGCTACTTGGGAGGCTGAGGCAGGAGAATCGCTTGAACAGGGTAGGCGGAGGTTGCAGTGAGCCGAGATCGTGCCACTGCACTCTAGCCCGGGCGAAAATGTGAGACTCTGCCTCAAAAAAAAAAAAAAAAAAAAAGGGAGGAATGCAGCTAAAGCAATGCTGAGAGGAAAATTTACAGAAGTGAATAATACTATTAGAAAAAGAGAAAGGTTGGCCAGGCACGGTGGCTCACCCCTGTAATCCCAGCACTTTGGGAGGCTGAGGTGGGTGGATCACGAGGTCAGGAGATCAAGACCATCCCAGCTAACACGGTGAAACCCGTCTCTACTACAAATACAAAAAATTAGCTGAGCATGGTGGCAGGCGACTATAGTCCCAGCTACTCAGGAGGCTGAGGCAGGAGAATGACACAAACCCAGGAGGCGGAAGTTGCAGTGAGCCAAGATTGCGCCACTGCACTCCAGCCTGGGCGACAGAGCAAGACTCCGTCTCAAACAAAAAAAAACGAGAAAGGTCAGCTGGGCACGGTGGCTCACGCCTGTAATCCCAGCACTTTGGGAGGACGAGGCAGGTGGATCACGAGGTCAAGAGTTCAAGACCAGCCTGGCCAAGATGGTGAAACCCTGTCTCTACTAAAAACACACAAAAAAATTAGCCGGGTGCGGTGGCAGGCATCTGTAATCCTAGCTACTCGGGAGACTGAGGCAGGAGAATCGCTTGAACTCAGAGGGCGGAGGTTGCAGTGAGCTGAGATCGCGCCACTGCACTCCAGCCTGGGTGAGAGAGTGAGACTCCATCTCAAA
Source organism: Homo sapiens (assembly GCF_000001405.40). Classification (NCBI taxonomy): domain Eukaryota; kingdom Metazoa; phylum Chordata; class Mammalia; order Primates; family Hominidae; genus Homo; species Homo sapiens. The sequence continues at coordinate 95,877 of NT_187611.1, forward strand.
AAAAAAAAAAAAGAAAAAGAGAAAGGTCCAGGCCAGGTGCGGTGGCTCACACCTATAATCCCAACACTTTGGGAGGCCGAGGCAAGCTGATCAGGTGGTGGTCAGGAGATCGAGACCATCCTCGCAAACACGGTGAAACCGCGTCGTAGTAAAAATACAAAAAAAAATATTAGCCGGGTGTGGTGGTGGGCACCTGTAGTCCCAGCTACTTGGGAGCTGAAGCAGGAGAATGGCGTGAACCCGGGAGACGGAGCTTGCAGTGAGCAGAGATCGCGCCACTGCACTCCAACCTGAGTGACAGGGCGAGACTCTGTCTCAAAAAAAAAAAAAGAGAAAGGTCCAAAATTGATAATCTAACCTTTTACCTTAACAAACTAGCAAAGGGATGGCAATGATAAGAGAAGAAATCAATGCAACAAGGCCAGGCGTGGTGGCTCACACCTACAATCCCAGCACTTTGGGAGCCCAGGGGGGTGGATTACCTGAGCTCAGGAATTCAAGACCAGCCTGGGCAACATGGCGAAACTGTCTGTATCCAAAATACAAAGAAAAATCAGCCAGGCATGGTGGCATGTGCCTGTGGTCCCAGCTACTTGGGAGGCTAAGGTGGGAGGGTCTCCTGAGCCTGGGAGGCAGAGGTTACAGTGAGCTGAGACTGCGACACTGCACACCAACCTGGGTCATAGAGACCCCATCTCAAAAAAAAAAAAAATCAATGCAACAAAAAAGAGAAAAACGATAAAAATTAATGAAACCAAAGCTGTTTCTTTGAAAAGCTGAATAAAACAAGATAGCAAACCACAAAATACCAAATGATATAGTCAAGACTTTAAGGCAAAAAATGTCTTCTGAACAATTATTGAGGTGAAAGAGTGCGTTGGCTGGAGTTACTATAGTAATCTGCCTTGAGCAAATGGTATTCAGACAAGCAAGGAGAAAAGACTGCAGGTGAGATAACAGCTCAAACCCTACTATGAAAGCTAGACTGAGCATCTCGCATGTCCACAGGATGAGACAACCAGGCAGATCTACAGAAAGGAGGGGGGCCGGGTGCGGTGGCTCATGCCTGTAATCCCAGCACTTTGGGAGGCCGAGGCGGTTGGATCATGAGGTCAGGAGTTTGAGACCAGCCTGACCAACATGGTGAAACCCTGTCTCTACTAAAAATACAAAAATTAGCCGGGCATGGTGGCAGGCACCTGTAATCCCAGCTACTCAGGAGGCTGAGGCAGGAGAATTACTTAAACCCGGGAGGCGGGGGTCGCAGTGAGCTGAAATTGTGCCACTGCACTCCAGCCTGGGCAATAGAGCAAGACTCCCTCTCAAAAAAAAAAAGGAGGGCCAGGGGCCAGGATAGGCTAGATACTGGGGTAAAGGCAAGTGGATGATTCCCATTAGGTTTAGTAAATTCTTGGACTGCACTTGGAATTGCTGATGTGTGTAATGGAACACAGTATTTCTGTTGTAGTTAACAGTGCTCTATCCCTGAAGGGGAGGAGGCATAAATTCCTGAGGAGCCCAGTGTTCCTTTACTAAATAGCAGAAATTCCTGGGGGATAAGGGGAGGCAAGAAGGAAAATAATATTTACTCAGGTCTACGTGTACTAGGTACCATGGTAAGAAATTTATATATGTTATACCTCTTATGTCTTCATAAAAAACAAGTTATAGAACTTGCCCATGACATAGCTTTTTTTTTTTTTTTTTTTTTTTGAGATGGAGTCTCACTTTGTCACCCAGGCTGGAGTGCAGTGGCGCAATCTCAGCTCACCGCAACCTCCACCTCCGGGGCTCAAGTGGTTCTCCTGCTTCAGTCTCCAGAGTAGCTGGGACTACAGACATGTGCCACCACGCCTGGCTAATTTTTGTATTTTTAGTAGAGATGGGGTTTCACCATATTGGCCAGGCTGGTCCTGAACTCCTGACCTCGTGATCCACCTACCTCGGCCTCCCAAAGTGCTGGGATTACAGGCGTGAGCCACCGCACCCGGCCTATTTATTTATTTTTAAATATAAACAGGATCTTGCTATGTTGCCTAAGCTGGTCTCAAATTCCTGGGCTCAAGCAGTCCTCCCACCTCGGCTTCCAAAAGTGCTGGGATTGCAGGCATAAGCCACCATGCCCAGCTTTATCATGCAATTTACCAAGTAATATGGCTTACTAAATACCCCGTTTCATTTAATTCTCACAAAAGCCGTCTGACCTAGGTCCTATCAGTATCCCTATTTTACAGATGAGGGAATTGAGGCCCAGCATGGGCAATATTCCCAAGATCCCAACTAGTAATATGACAAAGATATGATGTGAACCCCATCTGACTCCAGAGCCTGTGCTTCTAACCACTAGAGTCAACTGCATCCTTACCCTCTCAGACACTCCTCCACTCCTCAGCCTCTAACTTCTGATATCCAGTTCCCTGATGCCTACAATTCTTTCCCAGGCCAATGGCCTCTTCTGCTCTCTCTCCTCTCCCCTCTTCCAGTATCTCAATGGGGTCTAGCATTCTTTTTTTTTTTTTTTTTTTTTTTTTGAGACAGAGTCTTGCTCTGTCACCCAGGCTGGAGTGCAGTGTCGCGATCTCGGTTCACTGCAAGCTCTGCCTCCCAGGTTCCTGCCATTCTCCTGCATCAGCCCCCCTGAGTAGCTGGGACCACAGGCGCCCGCCACGACATCCAGCTAATTTTTTGTATTTTTAGTAGAGACGGGGTTTCACCGCGTTAGCCAGGATGGTCTCAATCTCCTGAACTCGTGATCCACCCGCCTCGGCCTCCCAAAGTGCTGGGATTACAGGTATGAGCCACCGCGGCCGGCTGGGTCCCGCACTCTTGATTCCCTTGCATTCAATGCCTTACCACTCTACAACTGTCTTCTAACAGAGCTCTATTCCTTAATCACCAGTGTAATCTATCCACCTTCTGCATCCCTGTCACTGAGTAGCTGGGTGATTCTGGGAAAAACAAATGCTCAGAGTTGTCTTCCCAAAACCCAGCTGAGCTCCCAACACACCTTCCAATCCCTCTCAGTTTCTTCAGCAATCATCATACCCTAATACCATGAAATTCACTATGCACAACTCTTTCCCCTAACTGCAGCCCAAGAAAAGCTGAAAAACTCAAAATCCTGTTATAGCTTCCCACTAACCTCATCTATATCCACATCTTTCCAGACCTCTTTCCTGTCAGGTTCAGAGGATTTTTCCTCTGCTTGCTCTTTATTCTATCCCTAGGGAGACCCTCTGCACCTCTGCTCATCAATTACCTACTTTTCTTTTCTTCGAGACGGAGTCTTGCTCTGTCGCCGAGGCTGGGGTGCAGTGGCACGATCTTGGCTCACTGCAACCTCTACCTCCCGGGTTCAAGCAATTCTCCTGCCTCAGCCTCCCGAGTAGCTGAGATTACAGGCACCCGCCACCGCGCCTGGCTAATTTTTGTATTTTTAGTAGAGACGGGGTTTCACCATGTTGGCCAGGCTGGTCTCGAACTCCTGACTTGGTGATTCACCCACCTTGGCCTCCCAAAGTGCTGGGATTACGGGCGTGAGCCACTGTGTCCAGCCAATTCCACACTTTTCTCTTGTACACTCAACTGCTACTGGGCTCCTTAATTAAAACACGCTCAAGTCACTGTCATTCAAAAACACCTGCACTGACTTACAGCTCCCTCTAGGTGGCATCTGATGTCCTTCCTTCTCTTCAACTGACAAACAGATTGTCCTTGCTGTCTCCACTCACTCACTTCCCATGAAGCCTCACCCACTGCCATCTGGCTTCCATCCCTACTATTTCTGTAACAGCTCCTGCTAAGGTCACCAATGACGTCCTAACTGTCAAATCCAATGGATACTTTTCAGTCCTCATCTAACTGAAATGCTCTTAGGCAACTGACACTGCTCAGCATCACCCCAATTCTGGACACGTGTTCCTGAAGGCCTTGGTTCCAAGACCCGGCACCCTCCCACAGGTTCTGACCACACTTCATCTTAGTATTCCCCACATTTCCAAATTCCTCCCTCTCCTCTTCTCACTCCACATTGTCCCTGGGTGATGTCACTCATTCTTGAGCTTTTGACCTTTTGTGGATAGGCTCCGAAATCTACATCTTTAATCCAGACCTGTTCTCCATGTTTCTTCAGATTGCTTCTCACCTAGGAACCTCTAAGCTATCCCTGACTGCTCTTACCTTTCTAGTTTCATTTCTCTCCCTGGAATGTCTCACTCATACTTTTTAAATCAAATCTAACAGATCATCAATTAAAGAGGCACCACTAAGGGAGCAGAAGGAATCAGGAATCTACACATGTGTATATATGTACTTAAATATGTATCTTGGAACTGAAGAAATAAGGTATAAATAAATACCTGGGGAAATCTCCATCTGAATGTTCTCAGGAACTTCAAACTTTATATATCCTAAACTAGATTTCTTTATCTTCGATCCTAAACCTGTTCTTGTTCATGTGGTCTTCCAGTTGGTGGCACTAACACCCACCTAGTCACCCATGCCAAAATCTGCACATCATTTTTGACTTTTCTTTGAGCATCCCAGGACCACAAAGTTCTGCTGATTTTATCTGCTAACTTCTTATCAAATCTGTTCCCCTCTTCCTACCTCTACTTTCAGTGCTCTCATCATTTTTATTGATTTATGTATTTTTTTGGAGACAGAGTCTCACCCTGTTGCCAGGCTGGAGTGCACTGGTGGGATCTCGGCTCACTGCAACCTCCGCCTCCCGGGTTCCAGCGATTCTCCTGCCTCAGCCTCCTGTGTAGCTGGGATTACAGGTGTGCACCACCACGCCCGGCTAATTTTCATATTTTAAGTAGAGATGGGGTTTCCCCATGTTGGTCAGGCTGGTCTCAAACTCCTGACCTCAGGTGATCCACCTGCCTGGGCCTCCCAAAGTGCTGGGATTACAGGCGTGAGCCCCCGCGCCTGGCCTGCTCTCATCATTTTTATCTGGACTTCTTCAGTGGTCCCCAAACCTGGTCTCCCATCCTATCCTTTCAGGTCCATCTTTCTCACAGCTGCAAGAGTGAATCATCTAACACAGAAATTTGACAAAGTCTGCATCTGTAGTGTGGGAAGCCAAAAAAAAAAAAGAAGAAAAACACATCTGACAAAGTCACTCTGTGCTTAAGACCCTTATATGATTCTTCCTAAGGTGTGCGATGCCCTCCATGATATGGCTCTCCACTATTTATCCAGCCTCATCTCTTAACATTCCCAATTCCACAATTTACTCCAGCAAACCTTGAACTTTCCATGGTCCCATGTACACAAGCTAGTTACATCGCCACACTTCTGGCTAAAGGAATGCTCTCCCTCACCTGTCTCATCACATGCTACTTCTTTCAGGAATCCTTTCCTCTTCCACTTCCAGACTGGGCTAGAGCAATCACTAACTCTAGTGCTCTCACAGATTCCCACATACAGGTTAATCTAAAACCCAAAATGCTCACAAAAAGCTGAAACTTTCTGAGTCCCAACATTCTGAGCACCAACATGACGCTCAAAGGAAATGCTCATTGGGGCATTTCAAATTTTGGATTAGGGATGCTGAACCTGTAAGTATAATGAAAATATTTCAAGGCTGGGCACGGTGACTCACACCTATAATCCAGCATTAGAGAGGCTAAGGCAGGAGGACTGCTTGAATCCAGAGTCTGAGACCAGCCTGGACAAGAGAGTGAGATCCCAGCTCTACAAAAAATTTAAAAATCAGGCCGGGTGTGGTGGCTCACGCCTGTAATCCCAGTACTTTGGGAGGCTGAGGCAGGCGGATCACAAGGTCAGGAGTTCGAGACCATCCTGGCTAACACGGTGAAACCCCTTCTCTACCAAAAATACAAAAACTTAGCCGGGCGTGGTGGCAGGCGCCTGTAGTCCCAGCTACTCAGGAGGCTGAGGCAGGAGAATGGCGTGAACCTGGGAGGCGGAGCTTGCGGTGAGCCAAGACTGCGCCACTGCACTGCAGCCTGGGTGACAGAGCAAGACTCCATCTCAAAAAAAAAAAAAAAAAAAAAAAAATTAAAAATTAGCCAGGCATGGTGGCGTATGCACCTGTGGTCCCAGATACTTGGGAGGCTGAGGTGTGAGGATCACTTGAGCTGCAGTGAGCTATGATAGCGCCACTGCCCTTCAGCCTAAGTGACAGTGAGACCCTGTCTCTAATAAAAATAATGAAAATATTAAAAAAGAAAATCTGAAATCCAAAACATTTCTGGTCCCAAGCATTTTGGATAAAGGAAACTCAACCGTAATGCAATAGTTCTAAAACATAACAGAACGTATCCTTAACAGACTTAACTAAAAAACAGAAAACATTCTGCGCATGCAAATGCCGCACATTTAGAGATATGAAGGTCGGAATGCAAGAAAAATGTTATAGCTAAGAGTTACTCTAATGGAAACCAGAGTAAGGTAACTTTTTTTTGTTTGTTTGTATTTTGAGATAGAGTTTTTGCTCTGTCGCCCAGGCTAGAGTGCAATGGTACGATCTCGACTCACAGCAACGTCCGCCTCCTGGGTTCAAGCAATTCTCCTGCCTGAGCCTCCCAAGTAGCTGCGATTACAGGCGCCGGCCACCAGGCCCGGTTAATTTTTGTATTTTTAGCAGAGACGAGGTTTCAGAACCACACTGGACAGGCTGGTCTCAAACTCCTGACCTCAGGTGATCCACCAGCCTCGGCCTCCCAAAGTGCTGGGATTACAGGCGTGAGCCACCGTGCCCGGCCGAGGTAACTTTTTAAATTTTGCAAAACCTTAAATATACGTAGTTCAAAATTCCTCAGATTTTTCTTTCTCAATTCCGGTTGCCTTCGGCTGGGCCTCTGAAGGTAAGTGAAGGAGAAACGAACCCCGAGATGCCTATGAGGGCTGCTTTTTCACAGGTTCTCTATGCCACTGGTTAACATGACTTAGATAAGCACCTGAGAAAATGCAAAAATAATGCTTTTCTGTTCAAAATAATAAATCCAACTTTTACTCTTGCCTTAATTTAGAATCATCACAAGTCCACAAGAAGGAGGCTACACAATTTCTACAAGGAACGCTCAGAAAATAACGATGAAGTGACCTGACATACTATAAGCCACTATGGCACAGAGCATGGAAACTGGCACACTAAGCAAAGAAGAGAAGGAAGCAGCCAGCAGGGGACGAAGTGAAAGGGGTGTGAAATGAGCAGAGGACAGCAGAGGACAAGAGGGAAGCTGGGCATGACGGCCCTGTACCTTGGTGAAGGTGGTGGACCCAGAGGCCATGAGAATCTGACGCACGCGGTTGTGGAAGCGCTGCATTGACTCATCGTCCACACGCAGGAAACACTGAGCTGTGCGCTCCTTAGTAACCTAAACCACAAAGTCAAGGTTAACATGTCCGAGGAACTCCCACAGAAGCAAGAGCCAACTGTGCCCACCACTCAAGTCTTTCCACCCAACAAGACTCCGGTGACTGACCCAGGAAGTGCAGGCGCGTTCATGTCACTCCCAGCCCCGCCCAGGCTGTACCTCATTCTGCAGGTTCCAGACCCCGTCCTTGTGGGTGAACTCCTCATAGCTGGTGCGGCACTTAGGCAGGATGCGGCACTCGAAGCCACACATGTTGAACAGCAGGTTGGGGTTGTCCTTACTGTACACAGACACGAAGCTGTTCTCCCACTGAACTGTAGTCACTGACCGTGGCAAGCGGTTCTTGATGTCCCAGAATACCGCCCGGCCTCTGCCCACAGAGAACACATGGTCACAGCAGTTTCTTGGAAGGAACTTCCCTTCAAAGGCCAACTGATGACATCCTGACACAGCCACGCCTCTCCCACCCAGGACGCAGCCTCAGGTATGCCCTCTCTGGGCCCTTAGCTTATGTCCTTCCAGCTCACACAGCCCCAACCTAGACTCACAAGTTAACATCATGTTTCATGAGGCGCATGCGGGCATCTCGGGGCCAGCACTTCTTGTTATTATAGCCAACGATGTTTTCATTATTGGGGTCAGGGTGCTCTGTCAGGTAACGTTGAATCAGGTCCCGAGCCTCATCTGCTGTGAACCTACACCAGACCAGGTACACTGCTGAGGCCCCAGTACACTGAGATTTGGGACACCCACAAGTCCTCCAGCTCAATAGACGGAGACCCCACCCCATCCTACCCCCACCCTCCCCGGGCTTCATTCCATTTTATTTTTATTTATTTATTTTTTGAGACAGTCTCGCTCTTTCCCCAGGCTGGAGCGCAGCGGCGCAATCCCGGCTCACTGCAAGCTCCGCCTCCCAGGTTCACGCCCTTCTCCAGCCTCAGCCTCCGGAGTAGCTGGGACTACAGGCACCCGCCACCACGCCCAGCTAATTTTTTGTATTTTTAGTAGAGACGGGGTTTCACTGTGTTAGCCAGGATGGTCTCGATCTCCTGACCTCGTGATCCGCCTGCCTCGGCCTCCCAAAGTGCTGGGATTACAGGCGTGAGCTACCGCACCCGGCCGCTTCATTCCATTTTAAAGCCCCAACAGCAGTTAAGTCAACTCAGGTACAATAGCTGATTTCAGAGGCAAAGCACATGCCTCAGTACCCTGCAAGGCTAGGAATCCAGGAAAGCCCTCACCTGAAAAAAATATGGATGCGATCAATGTATCTGCAGAAGAGACGGATGGGGTGGGCAGCCTCAGTGGCTATGTCCTGGAAACTGAGAAAGTCATTTGGCATCTGAGGGGGCCCAGCCATCTCACTGGCCCGGTGCAATCCCAATACAAGCAAATCCATCACCAGGCCATAATACTGCACGATGAATGAGGCAAACTGCAGGCCTCTGATGATCCCATATGAATTCGTATGGTTCATGTCCTAGAAAGAAAGAACTACAATTCTTAAGAATGTGAGCCATGCCCCAGGATTCTCCAGAGTTAACCTCTTTTGTTCTCCCCTCAGCAAATTCTACTTTTTTCCACTCCCGAGGCGGAGTTGTGCTCAGTCACCCAGGCTGAGAGTGCACTGGCGCAATCTCAGCTCACTGCAACCTCCACTTCCCGGGTTCAAGTGATTCTCCTGCCTCAGCCTCCCAAGTAGCTGGGATTACAGGCGCCCACCACCACACCCAACTAATTTTTGTATTTTTTTAAGTAGAGACGGGGTTTCACCATGTTGGCCAGACTGGTCTCGAACTCCTGACCTCGTGATCTGCCCGCCTCAGCCTCCCAAAGTGCTGGGATTACAGGCATGAGCCACCGCACCCAGCCTCCTCCTCAGCAAATTCTGAGTCAGTGGGCCAGACAAGCACTCCACACACAATTCCATGCTACTGCGCCTGAGACGCACCTTATAGTTGATGACGACGTTGTTCTTGGCTGTCATGTAGTCGGCTATGTTGTGGTCCACGATGAGGCGCAGCAGCCTGTTGAGCAGAGTCAAGTCGATCTTCTCATACATCTTCTCAAAGCGGGATTCCAGCATGACATTGCACTCGCCTTCACTCGTCTCCCACACGTCCTGCAGGTTATTGATGCCTGAGGAGTAGCAAGGCAGGTCTCCAGCAGGTTAGAAATCCTCTTGCAAGACTAGCCCCACAGGAACTATCATTACCTTCCATAACCAATCCCACTATGATTCCACGTATTCATTTGGATTGCTTTGACTATGGGCTTTTCCTCAGTTTAACACGAACACTACTTCCCTTTACTACCACGCATCAAGAGAGTAAACCAATCATGCTACCCAGATGAGATTTTTGACGTAGAACTAAATTCCTGCCCCGTTCCTCACAGGGCGATCTCATGAAAGTTCTACCTTGACACCACTTGTAAACAAGCAGCGGAGGTGGTTCTGTGTCTGCAGGCTTAATCCAGGGTGGGAACAGGCGGCGCTTGTCGGCTTCATACCACAGGTACTGGTCCAGGTAAGCATCAGTTATCTTCTCCAGGGGCTCAACATCATATACTGGAACGAGGTGGCTATACAGATCCATGAACTCAATGCCCACCTGTGGGACAAGGAGGCTGGTTCACACCAATCCACCAACTGCTACCTTTGGTAGAACCAAAGGCAACTGCTACCTTTGGTAGAACCAAAAAGAAAACTTGGGAGGCCTCACTCACCTCTTTGAAGGCTCTCTGTGTGAGGAGGTGACGCTTGATGCGGGACAGCGCCTCGTGGGGGTTATCGTAGGCCTGCTCGATCAGACCTAGCTCCTCCCTCTGAGACTGGTTCAACCGAGACTTCACACTGACAAAAGCAATGGGAAGGGTGAATGGGAAAACTAGGAGGAAGTAAAACCAGGAAAGACTGGGGCTACACCTTCTTTCTTTGGACTCTGAGGATGACGCCATTCCCTGCTGTCACCTTCCCAGCAGGAACCTATCTACCCTACTACTCACCTATAAGCTTCCTTGAGCCGCTCCAATGCCAAGATGAGCAACTTGGTGTCATGCTTATAGGAGAGTGGGGGGAATGGGATGGGTGAAAACCTGCGGCTTTCCAACCAATGCACTGTGGTGGTATATACTGCCACTGCTTCCTCCGCTGTGATGTAAGGCCCGTCCTGTAAGGTGGACATGAAATTAGCCTCCCGCTACAGCCCGATCCTGCCAGAACAAGGTTCAGTCACAACTCTACAGTCCTCCCTCTTGCCCACTCCCCCACCACTCACACCCAGCCCAGCCTACTCTGCCCAACCTTCAGGTAGTTGTGCTGCCGCTCCTGTTCTGCCTTCAGATAGAGCCGGGTGAGGCGGCCCAGATTCTTTTTACAAACAGTCTTGTCCACAGTGGCCCCTCGGCGGATCCGTTCTCGGTTGTAGTGGGCAGTGTTGGTCCACCAGTCAGCCTTGGCCTTCACGTATCGAAGGATCATATTCTCTATGGGCGTCGGCAGCCCAGGGACCTAAAAGTCCAAAAAGCACAATCAAGCCAGGATCCAGCCAGGCACTGTGGCACACATCTGTAGTCCCGGCTACTCAGGAGGCTAAGGAGGATCGCTTGAGCTCAGGAGCTTGAGGCCAGCCTAAGCAACATGGTGCTTCTTTTCCCTGTCTAAAAGGGAAAAGAAAAGAGATTGGAGCCAGATAGCCCCCTAATGATTCCCGAAGTGGTAATCCTACCCTAAAGACGGATGTTTACGCCTCCAAGGAAATAAAGAGACACCCACCTTCCAGGGAATGTTGGCTTTCCAGCAGCGCCAGGCTTCACTGAGGTGCTGCAGGATTGTCCGGGCCTTGTTCTGCTTGATCCCCTCAGGCATCATGTCCAGAATATCATGCATCACAGCTGCCCGCAGCTCAAGGTCAAAATGTGACTCCACTCGCTGCTTTGTTACTGTCTTTGCCACCCCCTTTGAGTGTCGACCTGGAAGTAGAGTGTCCCAAGGGGATTACAAGGAAGATTCCTTGCTTTCAATAAGGGTCTCTACCTTCATGCTCCTCACTCATTATGGTTATTAATAAAATTAGGTATTAACAAAGCGTCCCTGTGCCCAGCATATGCAAAAAGACGAGCTACCTTAAACATTCACAACTATGCTTCTGAGGAATTTCCACTCCTGCAAATGCATGACTGCCTCTCAAGGCCCCAGAAGGAAGCCCAAGAAATAGAATACTAGGTCAGACTCATTTCAGAACTGGACCTAAAGGCAATCCAGTAGGAAGAGTGCTCATACAAGAGCAGGGAACAGACTCAAACAGGGGCAGGTACTTTTGAAGCAATAACAGGAGAAGTTGGACACAGAGAAAACCACTCACCTTCAAACTGCCGGGCCAGGAGGTTGCCAAGCCATCGCTCTAATAAAGGGGTAATGCCACGCATGAAAAAGAGCCAGACTCGCCAACCGGCAGCCCAGAAGCCACAGCCAGGACCCTTCCCTACAGGGCCCTACGATCCCAAGCAGAAGTTAAGAATACAAGTTAGCAATGCATTTAAACAACAATAGAAACCTGGGCAGAGGTGGGGCATATATGTATAATATACATACAGAGGAATGTAGGTATGGCAGTAGAGGGGTAAAAAGAAAAAAAAACTCTGGGACCTCAACATCTAAAACAAAAGGGTAAATGAGAAACCTTAAGGCAAAAACCAGGAACTAAGATCGCCCATGTGAATTTAAAGGAGCAGTAAGGACACAGTCATAGCTGCTCTCCAAATAGGTCCCTGGAAAGAGCCCTGTCTAAATGTATACATGAAAAAAGATCTGAGAAAGTTAAGTCCAGTGAGGCTGGGCACGGTGACTCACGCTGGTAATCCCAGTACTTTGGGAGGCCGAGGAGTGTGGATCACCTGAGGTCAGGAGTTCAAGACCAGCCTGGCCAATACAGTGAAACCCCATCTCTACTAAAATTTCAAAAACTAGCCAGGCATGGTGGTGCGCGCCTGTAGTCCCAGCTACTTGGGAGGCTGAAGCAGGAGAATCACTTCAACCCGGGAGGCGGAGGCTGTGGTGAGCCAAGATCGTGCCATTGTACTCCAGCTGGGGCAACAGAGAAAGACTCAGTTTCAAAACAAAACAAAAAAAAAATTGCCAGGCGTGGTGGCGGGCACCTGTAATCCCAGCTACTCGGGAGGCTGAGGCAGGAGAATTGCTTGAACTCAGGAGGCGGAGGTTGCAGTGAGCCAAGATCGTGCCATTGCACACCAGCCCAAGAGACAAGAGTAAGACTCTGTCTCAAAAAAAAGAAAGTCAGTAAAGTCAAGGTCTCACCGTGTTGAAACGATAATAGATGAGATGCTTCAGGTCCTTGCACATGCGAATCTGTCGCATCAGCTTGTATTTGTATCGATACATGCCCGTCAACTGCCCAACATGGGCAAATATATACTGCAATCCATCTGCCAGCTGCAATACAATTGCCCCATCAGACCTGGAGCTTAAACCAGCTCCACGGTCAGCACAGGCTTCCTCCAGCGTCCTCACCCAGGCAGGGGTTGGGAATACCTAACCTTACCTGGAAGGCATCCACATTGCCCAGCCGATACTGCACGTGACTATCCACCACCAGCTTAGTCAAACGCAGAACTTCCCGACACAGGTGGAAAGCATTCCCAAAACGAGATTTCTTTCTTTCCTGGAGAAGATGCAAAAAACAGACAGAACGTGAATGAGCAATGGACCCAACTGATGTATGCCTTCATCAGTAACCAGAGGAAAACAACTGTCCGTCCTTGAAGCCCAGGAGGCCCCTAGGGTCCAATGCAGGCACCTTGGTGGTGAGCGTTTTCACAGGCTTGAGGTTGAAGTTGTAGTCCAGGTGCAGGTAGTTGAGGTTTTTGCGGTGAATGAGAAGGTTGAGCATGTTGTAGCCCTGGCGGCAAACCTGGAGCCCAACCTCCACCCAGTCCAGCTTTGTGGACTGAAAGAATTTGGTGGCTTTGAAGGAGCGGAACAAATACCTGAGGTGGGAACATGGAGAGTAAGAGTCAGCCTACTGATATCTCTGGAACAGAAGTCTGCGCAGGGCCCCTGGGGCACCTTACCTCTTCTTTTGAGCCTTAGGGGGCCGATGCTTCAGGGCATTCAGCACATAGTACTTAAGCAGCTTCTGGTAGGAGACCCTCACTTTCACAGGCTGCCCGGCAGGACAATGCTCCCGATACCTGGAAAAATAAGCCCACCAGAGTTTGGCCATCTCTTCTTCCAGACACTCTGCTAAAGGCTGCAAGCCTTGGGTTGTCTACCATTTTTATGGGAAAAAAAAAAAAAGAATTTAAAAAAAAGGCTACATGCCCACCTAGTTGGAGTCTTTTCTCCTACACATCCACTATCATTCCCCCTGCCACAGGGAAAAACCTTACCAGTTCTTGACAAGGGGTATGTCCAGGGCCCGACGGGTGCGACCAGAGCGTAGGTTGAAGGGCCGCGGGGCCCAGAGCAGGGCAATGCCATTGGCTGTATTGTCTGTATAGAGGGGTGTGTCCTTCAGGAAGGGCTCCACAAACTCCGGGAGCTCAAATTCCTCATCATCATCCGGCAATGGTTCCTGGCTCTGAAAAAGGAATCCCTCTAAGGGTTTAGCTCCTGCTGAACTAGGCACAGACTTAAGATGAGGGAAATTCTCTGGGGCCAAGCACAAAGCCTGTATCTGCTATGGAAACTGGGCTGTCTGACAAAAGCAGCCCTGAAGTGCCAGCACAAAGGAAACCAAGACAGCAAAGAACAAGACAGGGCCACCAGGAAAGCAAGCGTCACTTCTCACACCTCAACTGGCTGACCACCAGAAAGCCTCCCAATGGAGCCCCAACATCACAGGAGGTCAACATTGCAATCATCTCCCACCCAAGCTCCAAACACTGGGCTTGGACACAACGGAACACAGATGAGCATCAAAAACATTATGGTAAGCTTAAGAAGCCAGTCACTGAAGACTACATAGTGTACGATTCTATTTCATTCTATCATATGAAATGTGTAGAATAGCCAAATCTATAGACAGAAAGTAGATTAGTGGTTGCGTAAGGAAGTTGGGGAGAAATGGCGAGTAACTGCTAAGGGTTTCTTTCTCAAGTAATAAAAATATTCTCAAATTGCATGTCGTGACAGTTGGGACAACTCTGAGAATAAGCTAAAAACCATCAAATTACACACTTTAAATGGATAACTTGTATGGTATGTTAACTACATCTCAATATAAAGGCTAAAACAAACAAACACAATAGAGACAGACCGGGACAGATTATCTAGAGCACCCAAGAAAAGAACCGTAAAGTCCAAAAGGATAATCACAGAAAACAGGATTATACCAATGACATGTTTTAAAGCAAATGCTGAATTCTCATATTCGCTTATAGCTCAAGGGGAACACTTAGCAAGACGGAAAACACATCTCCCTCCACCTGAGCGTTTAGTAACATCAGCCAACCTCACGCATTTCTCCTAGAAGAGCTGAGGGAAAGCATCCCTTCCCTTCCTCACCTTGACTGAGTGCCTATGGGAGATTGGGTTGATCAAAGGGTCAAAGTAGAAAGCTGGCAAGTCAGGATCCTCAGTTTTGATGAATACAACATTGGGAGTATGGTACCTAAAATGAAAGGAAGAGTCAGCCAAAGTTTTCCCGCCCTGGCCCAACCTAAACAGCAGCCTTCTCCTTTCCAAATGTTGTGTTCCAGGTCTCTTACCAGGTGAGGTGGACATGGTGTGGAAGATTGTTGTACAAGTAAGGAAAAGCAATCTTGTACTCAGTGCGGATAGGCTGCCGGATGATAATCTTGTTAATATCATTGAATTCATTCCAGTCTTCATCCCTAGGGTACAACATCAAGAATAAGCAGACTTTTTTTTTTTTGAGACAGGGTCTCACTCTTATCACCCAAGCTGGAATGCAATGGCATGATCATCGTTCACTGCAGCCGTGACCTCCTGGGCTCAAACAATCCTCCCACAGCTCAGCTTCCCAAGTAACTGAGACTACACGAAGCTGTGAGTGTCACCACGCCCAGCTACATTTTTTGGTAAAGATAGGGTTTTGCCATTTTGCCCAGATTGGTCTCAAACTTCTGGGCTCAAGCAATCCTCCTGCCTCAGCTTCCCAAAGTGCTGAGATTACAGCGTGAGCCACTGCACCTGGTGTAAACAGACTAATTTGGAAGTTATATCAGGACTTTAAGGATCAAGATTACGTTTCATTCAACTCAAAATGTCTAAAATCCCTAATCTCTCCAACTCACTGTAGGTTGATGTCTCGAACAAGAGGTTCAAATTTGGGGCCTCCAGGAATGGCCATATTGAGTGCCTTGGACGTAAAGAAGGCCTTCAAATCAAACAGGTAGAAGTAGTTGTCATCCACCAAGTCTGTCAGGAGCTGATTAGCCAGGCGGTAGAGAGTCGACATCATAGGTAGTGTGAACTGCCAGCGCTGGTAAGTGGAGCCATTTACATACCTAGGTAAAAAATGAAAGGCCCACCTCAAGTAAGCAGCTAGACAAACCCATACCACCTACTGATCTCCCAGGACTCCTTCTGCATTTCCAGAACTCCTCCCAGGTGTAGTATCTCCATCTATCACTCACTTCCTGCTGTCCCTCAACGGCTGGTGGTCATAGAACCAGTCCAACACAGGGGCGTCCTCCTCAGGGTCCAGCTCTAGCTGAATGGCCTCCAGTGGCTCAACATCTAGGATGTTGTCAGCATAGTCCAAGGGCGGCTCCTCATCATCAAAAGGGGGAAAACGCATCCTCTTGAAATGCCTCCTATCTCTTTTTTCTCGGCGCATCATAATCCACATTGACCTGGAAGGCAAGACATCACACAACCATTTCTACCCACTGCCTCCCAACCACCACCACCACCACCACCCACCATATTTCAGCCTTTCTCACCCCCACTGGGAGATGTAGACAGGTTCAATGACCCAGGGAATCTCATTGACGAAGGAAATGGCTCCAGTGATGTGGTACAGCACAGGCACATCCCGAATCTGCTCCCAAGGCATAGGCATGTTCTCCAGGAGTTTGAGGACTGCGTGGGGCATGTACTTTAGGGCACTGGCACATTAGAAAAAGAGAAGGCTATCAGAAATGACGAGGTGTTCTGCTACCTGTCCCATGCAGAGAAGCCACATGTTCATGTTCCACAGTCCTACCTTACAATCCAAACTCCCAAACTTAGCCCACAGGCCCTTCCTAACCAGAAACCCTGCCTCTCCCTCTCCAACTTCACCTTGCACCACTCTTCTTAAACGTCATAATCCCACAATGCTGGTATCAGCTCCTCTAAATCAACGGCTATCCCTCTGGAGACAGCTTTGCGGCTCTCTCACATCCTATTCCCTCCGCATCTTCCCATAAATCATAATAAAGTATTCACCATACTTCACTATCACCAGTTGTCTCATGTCTGTCAGGCCACTAGACCGCACACTGCAGAAAGGCGGAGATTGTTACCCTCTGCTCGCTACTATATCCCCAGCAGCCAGCACAGTTCTCTAAGTATTTTTTGAAATAAACAAAACTTCCAGTTCATTACATGGCAAACATTTTTGTGTCCAAATAGAACAGGAATCTGCTAAGACATCTGTACCTGTACTAGCCCAGTTTAGAGCCACAGAAAAAACAGGAGTAGGGAAACCTCTGAAATTAAATACCCCAAACACAGAATTCAGGTCCCTGAGGAGCGACAGGCTGCCACTATGCACAGTATCCCACTCTGGACTTCAACCAGCTCAACCATAGGGACATCTTATTTTTCATTTTTTTTTTTTTTTTGAGACGGAGTCTCGTACTTTCGCCCAGGCCAGAGTGCAGTGGTGTGATCTCGGCTCACTACAAGTTCCGCCTCCCAGGTTCACGCCATTCTCCTGCCTCAGCCTCCCAAGTAGCTGGGACTACAGACACCTGCCACCACGCCCAGCTAATTTTGTGTATTTTTAGTAGAGACGGGGTTTCACCGTGTTAGCCAGGATGGTCTCGATCTCCTGACCTCATGATCCACCCGCCTCGGCCTCCCAAAGTGCTGGGATTACAGGCATGAGCCACCGCGCCTGGCCAGGGACATCTTATAATATCATCAACAGGACAAATTAAAGCACCAGTCCCAGATCGGGAAGAGAGGGGAAACAGACTGCAAAAGTGGAAGATGTAGAAATTATCAGAGACTCCTACTGGTTTTCTCCTTTCTCTTATATCCACCAAGATGAGCTGTCAAAGCATCAATCCAAGACTGTGGGACAGGGAGAAGGGAAAAGGGCCAAATTCCAAATGAAATTATTTCAGGATGTTCCTTACCCCAAGTAAACCCTTTTGTCATGGCGGAACTTCCTGTTGGTCATGTCTCCATGGTCTCGAATGATCTTCCTGACATGTTCTGGGGGCATGTCTTCCTTCTGGGCATCCACAAACCCAAACTTCCGCTTTTCTGCATAGCGCTTGGCCTGCAATTGCTGCCATTTTCGAGCTGGAAAGGCACCTCAGTTTAAAGGCCTGCACACCCTCCCCCTAATCCTCTTCACCTCTTGCCCTAGGGTAAGCTCCTGTCAGTGAGTGTGAGGGAGAAGCAGGCACCAGCAGGAAGAAGCACCCCTTGCCAATTCCCTTACCATTTTACTCTGTTTTTCCTTTCATCACATTGATCACTATCTGACTTTTTTTTTTTTTTTTGAGAGGTTGTTTCACTCTGTCTCCCAGGCTGGAGTGCAATGGTGCGATGTCGGCTCACTGCAACCTCCGCCTCCTGGGTTCAAGCCATTCTCCTGCCTCAGCCTCCCCAGTAGCTGGGATTATAGACACGCGCCACCACACACGACTCATTTTTGTATTTTTCGTAGAGACGAGGTTTCACTGTGTTGGCCAGGCTGGTCTCGAACTCCTGACCTCAGGTGATCCGCCCGCCTGGGCCTCCCAAAGTGCTGGGATTACAACCGTGAGCCACCGCGCCCGGCCTGACATTTTTATTACAGAGCTTCAAGGTTTTGTTATTCTCTGTCTCTCCCGCTGTAATTTAAACCCCGTAAGGACAGGAATTTTGTCTCCGTCACTACTGTACCCCCGCTGGATCAGCGCTTGCAAATAATACGCGCTTAAAATGACTTGATGAAAAATTAACTGGAAATAACAAGGGAGCTGACACCTCAGGAGCTGCCCAAACGGGGAGGGTCCCCACCCGCCTGCGCGCGCGCACACCCGCCCCGCCTCCGGCCCGCGCGCCGCTCCACACTCTCGCCTCACCTTTCTCCTGCAGCTTCTCCTCCGACATGTAGTCCGGTAGCGGGGCTAGAGGGCCAGGCACCGGGTTACCCGGCCCTCGATAAGGAAACACTCCGGCCATATCCGGAGAATCTGGGGAGCGGCGGGATAGAAAAATTCACTAACCACAGGCCCGGGCCCACAAGAAGCGCAGCAGAAAGGCGTCCGGGGACCCCGGCCTGCAGTCCCGCCACACAGTGCATCCAGCCCCGCCCGGCCTAACCCCTTCGGTCACTCGGCCCGACCCGACCACGCCTCCCGCAGCCCGGCCTTAAACGCCTGCCACGCACCCCACAGGCCCTCACACAAGAGGCCGCTTTCCCCGCAGCGCAATGGCGGCCAGACTGCGTCCGCTCCGCGTTCCCAGCGCCGGGAAGTGCGCAACCCGAGTTCAGCAGTTGATCCAGTCGGCGCCGAGGTGCTCAGATGGATTAGTGAGACGACCAATTAGAGTTGCACACTGCGCCGAGGAGGCGGGCCCATAGGCGGAAAGGCTTTGAACGCAAGGGGGTGTGGTCGGGGTGAAGCCCCGCCTCCTCCATTTCCGAGGCTGTTTCTGGGGCCTCTGACAGACCTCAGCGTGTGATGGGCTCCCGGCGTCGCACTGTGAGAGAGCGAAGTCTAAAGGGTTTGAATAAATTTGCCAAGATTGCGCATTGTACGATGTCTGTTGTCATCAATGTGTACATGCAATGCAGTACTAGCTCCTGGACAGTCATTTGTTCATGCATTCATTCATTTAACCATCACTGTCTACCGAGGACGAGGGATAAAGCAGGAAAAAAGACAACCAGTAGAGTTCACAGGGGAGCAGAAAGGCAGGCAAGAATTAAGACCTTGGCCGGGCGCGGTGGCTCACGCCTGGAATCGCAGCACTTTGGGAGGCCGAGGCAGGCGGATCACTTAAAGCCAGAAGTTCGAGGCCAGCCTGGCCAACATGGTGAAACCCCGTCTCTACTAAAAATACAAACATTAGCCGGGCGTGGTGGCGGGCGCCTGTAGTCCCAGCTACTCGGGAGGCTGAGGCAGGAGAATCGCTTGACCCGGGAGGGGGAGGTTGCAGTGAGCCAAGATCGCGCCACTGCACTCCAGCCTGGGTGACAGAGCGAGACTCTGTCTCGGGGGAAAAAAAAAAGTCTGAAATTCTGTGGAGGGTGCAGAGGAATTGTAACCCATACAGCCCCTGAATCTAGTTGAGAATTTACAAATCAAAGTGAAATAATTAGAAAAAAATTCAAAGGATGTCAATGTGCTTTCAGAACGGTAAAAATTTAAAAAATATTCCTTTTGTTTTTTTGAGACAGGGTCTCACTCTGTTGCCCAGACTGGAGTGCAATGGCGCGATCTCAATTCATCACAACCTCCACCTCCCAGGATCAAGCAATTCTCCTGCCTCAGTCTCCAGAGTAGCTGGATTACAGGCACGCGCCACTACTGCCGGCTAAGTTTTGGATTTTTAGTAGAGACAGGGTTTCACTATGTTGGCCAGGCTGGTCTCAAACTCCTGACCTTACGAAATCCTCCTGCCTCGGCCCTCCCAAAGTGCTGGGATTACAGGCGTGAGCCCCCATGCCCGGCCTGAAATCTATTTTTTAATGCTGGGTGTTCTAAAGGTCCCTACAGTCAAAAAAGACAGAGGAGAATTGTTAAAGATTTGATGGAGATGGATGGATGTGAGGATTTCATAAAGGTAAATGGAGAGGAAGGAAAAAGGTAATCCCAAGTGGTAGAACTACTAGAAAGAGTTAAGAAAGAAGCCGGGCACCGTGACTCATACCTGTAATCCTAGCACGTTGGGAGGCAGCGGCGAGAGGATTGGTTAAACTCATGAGTTTAAGACTAGCCTGGGCAACATACTGAGACCCTCATCTCTACAAATAATAAAAATATTAACCAGGCATAGTGGTACATGCCTGTAGTCCCAGCTACTCGGGAGGCTGAGGTGGGAGGATCATGATGGCACCACTGCACTCCAGCCTGGGTGACAGAGCGAGGCTGGTTTCATAGAAAAAAAGTGGGGGTTTTGGTTTGTTTTTTGTTTTTTGAGGCAGAGTCTCACTCTGTTGCCAGGCTGGAGTGCAGTGTCACAATCTCGGCTCACTGCAACCTCTGCCTCCAGGATTCAAGCGATTCTCCTGCCTCAGCCTCCTGAGTAGCTGGGGTTACAGGCATGTGCCACCACACCCGGCTAATTTTGTATTTTTCGTAGAGATGGCGTTTCTCCATGTTTGTCAGGCTGGTCTCGAACTACTGAGCTCAAGTAATCTGCCTACCTCAGCCTCGCAAATTGCTGGGATTTCAGGCGTGAGCCACCGTGCCAGGCCAAAAAAGGTTTAGATATAGAAACTAACATGGCATGCTCTGAAAATAGGCACCATATCAATCTGGCTGTGCTAGAAAGTCCAACATCATCATTATCATCTTCATCATCATCATCGTCATGGTAGTGAAGTCCTTTCACCTGTGTAAGGTTCACTACGTGCCAGACATTGCTCTAAGCCCTGGTGAAATCCTACTATGGTCTGTAGTTTCATTAAGAGTATTGTGGCCGGGCGCGGTGGTTCACGCCTGTAATCCCAGCACTTTGGGAGGCCGAGGCTGGCGGATCACAAGGTCAGGAGATCGAGACCATCCTGGCTAACACGGTGAAACCCTGTCTCTACTAAAAATACAAAAAAATTAGCCGGGCATGGTGGCACGCACCTGTGCTTCGAGCTACTTGAGAGGCTAAGGAAGGAGAATCGCTTGAACCCAGGAGGTAGAGGTTGTAGTGAGCTGAGATAGTCACTGCACTCCAGCCTGGGCAAAAGAGCAAGACTCCGTCTCAAAAAAGAAAAAAAGAGTATTGTACCAATGTCAATTTCCTGGTTTGATTGTCGCTCTATGGTTGTATAAGAAGTTCTGGGGGGTGGCCGGGCGCGGTGGTTCACGCCTGTAATCCCAGCACTTTGGGAGGCTGAGGAGGGTGGATCACGAGGTCAGGAGATCGAGACCATCCTGGCTAACACGGTGAAACCCCATCTCTACTAAAAATACAAAAAAATTAGCCGGGCATGGTGGCAGGCGCCTGTAGTCCCAGCTACTCGGGAGGCTGAGGCAGGAGAATGGTGTGAACCCGGTAGGCAGAGGTTGCAGTAAGCCAAGATCGGGCCACTGCACTCCAGCCTGGGTGACAGAGCAAGACTCCGTCTCCAAAAAAAAAAAAAAAAACAAGTTCTGGGGGGTGGGCAGGGGGCAGGTGTGGTGGCTCACGCCTGTAATCCCAGCACTTTGGGAGGCTGAGGCAGGTGGATCATTTGAGGTCAGGAATTCGAGACCAGCCTAGCCAACATGGTGAAAACCTGTCTCTACTAAAATACAAAAATTAGTGGGGCATGGTGGCACATGCCTGTAATCCTAGTTACTTGGGAGGCTGAGGCATAAGAATCGCTTGCACCCGGAGGTGGAGGTTGTAGTGAGCTGAGATCATGCTATTGCACTCCAGCTTGGGTGACCGAGTGAGACTCTCGCTCAAAAATAAAATAAAATAAAAAGTTCTCAAGCTACGTGAAGGGTACACAAGAACTCTCTGTACTATTTTCAAAACAGCATTATTGAGATAAAAGTTGCACTCCATGGCCACCATGCTGGCTCATGCCTGTAATCCCAGCACATTGGGAAGTCGAGGCGGGCGGATCACCTGAGGTCAGGAGTTCGAGACCAGACGAAGCAACATGGTGAAACTCTGTCTCTACTAAAAATACAAAAATTGGCGGGGCATGGTGGTGCATGCCTGTAATCCCAGCTACTTGGGAGGCTGAGATGTAAGAATCGCTTGCATCTGGAGGCAGAGGTTGCAGTGAGCTGAGATCGCGCCATTGCACTCCAGCCTGGGCAACAAGAGCGAAACTCTGCCTCAAAAAAAAAAAAAAAAAAATCGCAATCCATAAAGTTCGCTTGTTTTCATGTGTATAATTCAATGATTGTTAATGAATTTTAGTTTTAATGATTCAAAATTAGTATATTTACAGACTTGTGCAGTTACCACTATTGAGTTCCAGAACATTCCCAGCACCCCCCAAAGAAATCTTTTTTATTTATTTATTTATTTATTTATTTATTTTTTATTGATAATTCTTGGGTGTTTCTCACAGAGGGGGACTTGGCAGGGTCATAGGACAACAGTGGAGGGAAGGTCAGCAGATAAACAAGTGAACAAAGGTCTCTGGTTTTCCTAGGCAGAGGACCCTGCGGCCTTCCGCAGCGTCTGTGTCCCTGGGTACCTGAGATTAGGGAGTGGTGATGACTCTTAACGAGCATGCTGCCTTCAAGCATCTGTTTAACAAAGCACATCTTGCACCGCCCTTAATCCATTCAACCCTGAGTGGACACAGCACACGTTTCAGAGAGCACAGGGTTGGAGGTAAGGTCACAGATCAACAGGATCCCAAGGCAGAAGAATTTTTCTTAGTACAGAACAAAATGAAAAGTCTCCCATGTCTACCTCCTTCTACACAGACAGGGCAACCATCCGATTTCTCAATCTTTTCCCCACCTTTCCTGCCTTTCTATTCCACAAAGCCGCCATTGTCATCCTGGCCCGTTCTCAATGAGCTGTTGGGCACACCTCCCAGACGGGGTGGTGGCCGGGCAGAGGGGCTCCTCACTTCCCAGTAGGGGCGGCCGGGCAGAGGCGCCCCTCACTTCCCGGATGGGGGGGCTGGCCGGGCGGGGGGCTGACCCCCCCACCTCTCTCCCAGATGGGGCGGCTGGCCGGGCAGAGAGGCTCCTCGCTTCCCAGTAGGGGCGGCCGGGCAGAGGCGCCCCTCACCTCCCGGATGGGGCGGCTGGCCGGGCGGGGGGCTGACCCCCCCACCTCCATCCCGGACGGGGCGGCTGGCCGGGCAGAGGGGCTCCTCGCTTCCCAGTAGGGGCGGCCGGGCAGAGGCGCCCCTCACCTCCCGGACGGGGCGGCTGGCCGGGCGGGGGGCTGACCCCCCCACCCATCTCCCTCCCGGACGGGGCGGCTGGCCAGGCGAGGGGCTGACCCCCCCACCTCCCTCCCGGATGGGGCGGCTGGCCGGGCAGAGGGGCTCCTCACTTCCCAGTAGGGGCGGCCGGGCAGAGGCGCCCCTCACCTCCTGGACGGGGCAGCTGGCCGGGCGGGGGACTGACCCCCCCACCTCCCTCCTGGATGGGGCGGCTGGCCGGGCGGGGGGCTGATGCCCCGACCTCCCTCCCGGACGGGGCGGCTGGCCTGGCGGGGGGCTGACCCCCCTACCTCCCTCCCGGATGGGCGGCTGGCCGGGCAGGGGGCTGACCCCCCCACCTCCCTCCCGGATGGGGCGGCTGGTGGGGCGGGGGGCTGACCCCCCCACCTCCCTCCCGGATGGGGCGGCTGCCGGGCGGAGACGCTCCTCACTTCCCAGAGGGGGCGGCTGCCGGGCGGAGGGGCTCCTCACTTCCCAGACGGGGCGGCTGCCAGGCGGAGGGGCTCCTCACTTCTCAGACGGGGCGGCCGGGCAGAGGTGCTCCTCACATCCCAGACGGGGTCGCGGCCGGGCAGAGGCGCTCCTCACATCCCAGATGTGATGGCGGCCGGGCAGAGGTGCTCCTCACTTCCTAGGTGGGATGGCGGCCGGGCGGAGACACTCCTCACTTTCCAGACTGGGCAGCCAGGCAGAGGGGCTCCTCACATCCCAGATGATGGGCGGCCAGGCAGAGATGCTCCTCACTTCCCAGACGGGGTGGCGGCCGGGCAGAGGCTGCAATCTCGGCACTTTGGGAGGCCAAGGCAGGCGGCTGGGAGGTGGAGGTTGTAGCGGGCCGAGATCACGCTACTGCACTCCAGCCTGGGCACCATTGAGCACTGAGTGAAGGAGACTCCATCTGCAATCCCGGCACCTCAGGAGGCCGAGGCTGGTGGATCACGTGCGGTTAGGGGCTGGAGACCGGCCTGGCCAACACAGCGAAACCCCGTCTCCACCAAAACCAGTCAGGCGTGGCGGCGCGAGTCTGCAATCGCAGGCACTCGGCAGGCTGAGTCAGGAGAGTCAGGCAGGGAGGTTGCAGTGAGCCGAGATGGCAGCAGTACAGTCCAGCTTCGGCTCAGCATGAGAGGGAGACTGTGGAAAGAGAGGGAGAGGGAGACCGTGGAAAGAGAGGGAGAGGGAGACCGTGGGGAGAGGGAGAGGGAGAGGAGGGAGAGGGAGAGGGAGAGGGAGAGGGAGAGGGAGAGGGAGAGAGCAAAGAAATCTTCTACACATTCGCTCCCCCATTTCCTCCTACCTCCTATTCCTCAGCCCTAGGCAACTACTTTTCTGTTTTCCATCTCTATAGATTCACCTGTTCTCAACATTTTATATAAATGGTATGATAGAATAATGAATTTTTTTGTGTGTGGTTGTCTGCTTTTACTTGGCATAATGGTTTTGTGGTTGATGTTGTTGTTGTTATTTGTTTTTTAGAAATGAAGGTCTCACTCTGTCATCCAGGCTCAAGTACATTGGTGCTATCATAGCTCACTATAACCTCAAACTCCTGGGCTCAAAGGGTCCTCCCACTTCAGCCTCTAGAATAGCTAAGACTGCAGGTGCATGTCACTAAGCCTGGCCAGCATGATGTTTTATGATGTTTTTGAGGTTCATACTTGTTATATTGTTATGGCATGTATATCGTCTTTGGATAAATATGTATTCAGATCCTTTACCCATTCTTTTTTTTTTTTTTGAGATGGAGTCTCGCCCTGTCGCCCAGGCTGGAGTGCAGTGGTGTGATCCCAGCTCACTGCAAGCTCTGCCTCCAGGGTTCACGCCATTCTTCTGCCTCAGCCTCCCGAGTAGCTGGGACTACAGGCACCCGCCATCATGCCCAGCTAATTTTTTTTTTGTATTTTTAGTAGAGACTGGGTTTCACCGTGTTAGCCAGGATGGTCTCGATCTCCTGACCTCATGATCCACCCGCCTAGGCCTCCCAAAGTGCTGGGATTACAGGCGTGAGCCACCGCGCCCGGCCTTTTTTTTTTTTTTTTTTTTTTTTGAGATGGAGTTTCGCCCTGTCGCCCAGGCTGGAGTTAGTGCATGGAGTGCAATGGCACAATCTCGGCTCACTGCAACCTCTGCCTTCCGGGTTCAAGCGATTCTCCTGCCTCAGTCTCCCAAGCAGCTGGGATTATAGGTTCCTGCCATCACAAGCCCAGCTATTTTTTGTCTTTTTAATAGAAATGGGGTTTCACCATGTTGGCCAGGCTGGTCTTGAACTCCTGACATTGTGATTTGTCCCCCTTGGCCTCCCAAAGTGCTGGAATTACAGATGTGGGCCACGGCGCCTGGACTTTTTTTTTTTTTTTTTTTTTTTTTTGAGATGGAGTCTCGCTCTGTTGCCCAGGCTGGAGTGCAATGGCGCGATCTGGGTTCACTGCAACCTCTGCCTCTGGGGTTCAAGTGCTTCTTCTACCTCAGACTCTGGAGAGTAGCTGGGATCATGCAATTGCAATCCAGCCTGGGCAACAAGAGCGAAACTCCATCTCAGGAAAAAATGAAAAAAAAAAAGAGAGAGAAGCTTGATGAGTTGGACTTTATTCTCCTGCCTCAGCCTCCTGAGTGGCTGGGATTACAGGCGCATGCCACCACACCCGGCCATATCTCATTATTTAATTGACGATTTTCATTTTTTTCTTTTCTCAGTTTGCTCTTTCTGGATCTTCCGTTATTTTGATGTTGGGTCTTTTGGACTGGTCCCACGATTGTCTCATCTTTTCTAATTCTATCCCCATCATTACTCTTCTTTCCGGGAGACTTTCTTCCAACTCCTCCATGAACTTTTCATTTCCATCAAGTGTCACACTTTTCATTTCCAAATACTAAGTACTCTTTCTTAGTTTTTTTTTTTTTAAAAAAAACGGAGTCTTGCTCTGTCGCCCAGGCTGGAGTGCAGTGGCGCAATCTCGGCTCACCACAACCTCCGCCTCTTGGGTTCAAGCGATTCTCCTGCCTCGGCCTCCCGAGTAGCTGGGGGTTACAGGCGCCTGCCACCACGTCCAGCTATTGTTTGTATTTTTAGTAGAGACGGGGTTTCACCATGTTGGCCAGGAGGGTCTTGAACTCCTGACCTCATGATCCACCCGCCTCGGCCTCCTGAAGTGCTGGGATGACAGACGTGAGCCACCGCACCCACCTCTTTTTAGTTCTTCTTTTGTAGGATCATGTTCTTGTTTCATGGCTACAACATACTCTCTTGTCTCTATAAGGAAAATAGCTTTTCTGAAGTTTTATTCTCCAGGCAT
Source organism: Homo sapiens (assembly GCF_000001405.40). Lineage (NCBI taxonomy): Eukaryota > Metazoa > Chordata > Mammalia > Primates > Hominidae > Homo > Homo sapiens. The sequence continues at coordinate 122,781 of NT_187611.1, forward strand.
ACTGTTTGCTTTATCCGTGTTTTTCTTTTTCTTCATCTTCTTTTAAAAAAGTTTATTTCATGTTAGGGGCTTCCTTTAAATGTCCATAATTGGCTCTTCAATTAAAATTATAGTAAGTGCTTCCAATGAGAAGTCCAGAGATCTCACCTGATTTTATGAAAAGAGTCATAGAAGTTTTTTTGGGAAAAGAGATGTTGCCGTGGGTCACTCCTGTAATCCCAGCACTTTGGGAGACGAAGGCAGGAGGATCACTTGAGGTCAAGAGTTCAAGACCAGCCTGGGCAACATGACGAAACCTCAACACAAAAAATACAAAAATTTGCCAGGTATGGTGTCTCACGCCTGTAGTCCCCGCTACTCAGGCCTGAGGTGGAAGGATGGCTGGAGCCCAGCAAGTGGAGGCTGCAGTGAGCCAAGATTGTACTGGAGACTACACTCCAGCCTGGGCAACAGAATGAGATCCTGTCTGAATTTGAAAAAAAAAAAGGCCGGGTGCAGTGGCTCATGCCTGTAATCCCAGCACTTTAGGAGGCTGAGGTGGGCAGATCAAAAGGTCAGGAGTTCGAGACCATCCCGGCCAACGTGGTGAAACCCCTGTCTCTACTAAAAACACTAAATTAGCCAGGCGTGGTGGCGGGTGCCTGTAATCCCAGCTACTAGGGAGGCTGAGGCAGTAAATCGCATGAACCCAGGAGGAAGAGGTTGCGGTGAGCTGAGATCACACCACTGCATTCCAGCCTGGTGACAGAGTGAGACTTCGTCTCAAAAAAAAAAGAGGAGATGTTGTAAATAAGCACTGCAAAATGAGAATGTGTAAGACAAAGGGAGTGAGTAGGAGGAGGGAAGCCAGGAAGATGGAAGTGAGGGAGAAGGAAAGCCTACCAGGCGCTGGGCAATGAAATAGGAATAGATTTCTGAATAAGGAAGGAGCATGGTGTATTTAATAAATGAACTAAGGCCACAGAGACTGAAACGGGCTGGGTGTGGTGGCTCACGCCTGTAATCCCAACACATTGGGAGGCCAAGGTGGGCAGATCACTTGAGTCCTGGAGTTGAAGACCAGCCGGGTCCGCATGGCAGAACCCCATCTTTACTAAAAATACAAAGAAAAAAAATCAGCTGGGCGTGTGGTGTGCACTTGTAGTTCCAGCTACCCAGGAGGCTGAGGTGGGAGGATCGCTTGAACCTGAGAGGCAGAGGTTGTAGTGAGCCGAGGTCGCACCACTGCAATTCAGCCTGAGTGACAGAGCACAACCCCGTCTCAAAAAACAAGAGTGGGCCGGACACAGTGGCTCATGCCTGTAATCCCAGCACTTTGGGAGGCAGAGGTGGGCAGATCATCTGAGGTTGGGAGTTCGAGACCAGCCCGGCCAACATGGTGAAACCTGATCTCTACTAAAAATACAAAAATTAGCCAGGTGTGGTGGGAGGTGCCTGTAATCCCAGCTACCCAGGAGGCTGAGGCAGGAGAATTGCTTGAACCCAGGAGGCAGAGGCTGCAGTGAGCTGAGATCACACCACTGCACTCCAACCTGGGCAACAGAGTGAGACTCTGTCTCAAAAAAAAAAAAAAAAAAAGAATGAAATAGGAAGTACCCTGAGTCTGGTGAGTGGACAAGAGGGGAGCCCTTGGAAGGCCACAGACCATGTGATGAGTTATGCTTCTTTCTTAAGAAGTAGGAAGAGCTACTGGGAATGACATGATCAGATTTGCATCGTGACAATCACAGACTGGCTGTTCTGTGGAGAATAGTTACGAGGCCATTATTATTATTATTATTATCATTACTATTATTATTATTATTTTATTTATTTATTTTTTGAGACAGAGTCTCACTCTGTCGCTCAGGCTGGAGTACAGTGGTGCGATCTCTGCTCACTGCAAGCTCCGCCTCCCAGGTTCATGCCATTCTCCTGCCTCAGCCTCCCGAGTAGCTGGGACTACAGGCGCCCGCCACCACGCCCAGCTAATTTTTTGTATTTTTAGTAGAGACATGGTTTCACCGTGTTAGCCAGGATGGTCTCGATCTCTTGACCTCGTGATCCGCCCGCCTTGGCCTCCCAAAGTGCTGGGATTACAGGCATGAGCCACCCTGCCCGGCCAGCCATTATTATGTCGCTTAGACTAGAGATGATGGTGACTCGGACCAGATGGGACAGCGGAGATGGAAAGGATGGATGGGTGGGAAAGCCGTCCTGCAATAACTGGAAGTGTGCATCTGTGGTGGGAGGTGGGTGGCATTGTTCAGGGACGACTCCTCAGTTCCCGATTTGCACAGTGCGTCGATGGCAGGGTCATGCACAGACTGAGTGGACTGGATGCAGGTTTGGAAGGAAAGCGCCTGAGTCGGGTTCTGGAGAACCCTTTGGATGTCAGAATGCAACCATCCCATCCTCTAGATTCATCTGCTCATTCTCAGGCTACAGGTACTTGAATGACCTGTTTCTTCAGTTTCTTTTTCTTTTCCTTTTTTTTTGAGAGACAGGATCTCACTCTGTCACCCAGGTTGGAGTGCAGTGGTGCAATCTTGGCTTACTGCAACCTCTGCCTCCTGGGTTCAAGCGATTCTCCCACCTCAGCCTCCTGAGTAGCTGGGATTACAGGTGCATACCACCACATCTGGCTAATTTTTGTAATTTTAGTAGAGACAGGGTTTCCCCATGTTGACCAGGCTGGTCTTGAACCTCTGACCTCAAGTGATCCGTCTGCCTCGGCCTCCCAAAGTGCTAGGATTATAGGCGTGAGCCAACGCACCCGGCCAAGGATGACCTGTTTCTGTATCTGTCACCCCTGGTTTCCCTCTGCCGAATGACTCCTACTTTCTCAGTTCCTCACTCTCTAACACAGTCCTGAGTGCAGGCTCTCTGATGCCAGGGCTCTGGTTCATTGACTCACTATTACACCTCATAGTTTGTGCTTGGCATGTCGTAGGCCCTTTATAAATATTTGTTATAAAGAGAATAAAGTCAGCTGGGCGAGGTGGCTCACACCTGTAATCCCAGCACTCTGGAAGACCGAGGTGGGCGCATCACCTGAGGTCAGAAGTTCAAGACCAGCCTGGCCATGCTGAAACCCCGTCTCTACTAAAAACACAAAAAATTAGCCGGGCATGGTGGCTGGTGCCTGTAATCCCAACTACTCGGAAGGCTGAGGCAGAAGAATTGCTTGAACCTGGGAGGCGGAGGTTGCCGTGAGCCAAAATAGCGCCATTGCGCTCCAGCCTGGGCAACAAGAGCGAAACTCCGTCTCAAAAAAAAAAAAAAAAAAGAGAATAAAGTCTGGGTGCGGTAGCTCACGCCTGTAATCCCAGCAATTTAGGAGGCCAAGGCGGGCAGATCACTTGAGACCAGTTCAAGACCTGCCTGGCCAATATGGTGAAACCTAGTCTGTACTAAAAATATAAAAAACAGCCGGGCATGGTGGCAGGTGCCTGTAATCCCAGCTACTCGGGAGGCTGAGGCAGGAGAATCGCTTGAACACAGGAGGCAGAGGTTGTAGTGAGCCAAGATCGCACCATTGTGCTCCAGCCTGGGCAACAAGAGCAAAACTCCATCTCAAAAAAACAAACAAAAAAAAGACAGAGAATAAAGAAAAATGAACTGTCCCAGTGATACTTGGAGCCACAGAGTAAATTGGCACATCTTCCTTAAATCATAAAATTGGGCCGGGCGCGGTGGTTCACGCCTGTAATCCCAGCACTTTTGGAGGCCGAGGCGCGCAGATCATGAGGTCAGGAGATCGAGACCATTCTGGTTAACACGGTGAAACCCCGTCTCCACTAAAAATACAAAAAAAGTTAGCCAGGCGTGGGGCCAGGCACGGTGGCTCACGCCTGTAATCCCAGCACTTTGGGAGGCCGAAGCGGGTAGATCACGAGGTCAGGAGATCGAGACCATCCTGGCTAACATGGTGAAACCCCGTCTCTACTAAATGTACAAAAAATTAGCTGGGCGTGGTGGCAGGCGCCTGTAGTCCCAGCTACTCGGGAGGCTGAGACAGGAGAATGGTGTGAATCCGGGAGACGGAGCTTGCAGTGAGCCGAGATCGCACCACTGCCCTCCAGCCTGGGCGACAGAGCGAGACTCCGTCTCAAAAAAAAAAAAAAAGAAAAAAAAATTGACAGTTTCACTTGTCATTTTGTAAAATTTTTTTTAAAAACAAGTATTGTAATTGTATTTGAAATGGTATTTTATTTTATCTTTTTAATTTTTTTTACAGACAGACTCCAGACTCCACTGTTGCCCAGGCTGGAGTGCAGGACACAATCATGACTTACTGTAGCCTCCAACTCCAGGAGGCTGAGTGACCTCCCACCTGAGCCTCCTGAGTAGCTAGGACTGTAGATGTGTACCACTGTGCCTGGCTTTTTTTTTTTTTTTTTTTGAGATGGAGTCTCATTCTGTCTGCCAGACTGGAGTGCAGTGGCACGATCTCGGCTCACTGCAATCTCCGCCTCCTGGGTTCAAGCAATTCTCCTGCCTCAGCCTCCCGAGTAGCTGGGACTACAGGAGCCTGCCATCACGCCCAGCTAATTTTATTTTATTTTATTTTATTTTATTTTATTTTATTTTATTTTATTTTATTTTATTTTTTGTATTTTAGTAGAGACGAGGTTTTACCATGTTGCCCAGGCTGGTCTCAAACTCCTGAGCTCAGGCAGTCCACCCATCTCGGCCTCCCAAAAGTGCTGGGATTATAGGCATGAGCCACCGCACCTGACCACCTGGCTAATATTTTTATTATTTGTAGAGATGGGGCTCTCACTATATTGCCCAGGCTGGTCTCAAATTTCTGGACTCAAGTCATCTTCCCGCCTTGGCCTCCCAAACTGCTGGGATTATAGGCGTGAGCCACCGCAGCCGGACTTATATGAATTTTTAGATTCAACATATTTCAAGGAAATGCTGCTGCAGTGGCCCTAGACTGTTTCCCTCCCCCATCTCCTCCATCTCCCCAGCACCCCACTCCTGTTTGCTGTTGAGGTGGAAATATTTGGATTCCACACAGTCGGGGTTGGGGAAGGAAGGGGAGGAGTTTGAAGAAAACGATGTTTGGACAAGCCGTAAGGAGAGCAAGTGAATAGCTAGGTAGCAGGGCTGGCCTGCGTCAGTGCAGCAGGAATTTGTGGCCCTCCAGTTCTGCAGGCTTCTCTATCCTCTTCTAGCAGTGCCCTGACCTGGGATCTGAGGCAGAGAGAGTTGCCATGCCAGCCTCTCAAGCCCCAGGATTAGCAATGCCAACCGGTGAAGGTTTAGGAGATGAGGGAGTGCTCTTAAGGGCACAGACTGGCAGGCCAGAGTGAGGGGCAAAGCCTCAGCCAAAGAAATTATTTACTATCGGCCGGGCTCAGTGGCTCGAGCCTGTAATCCCAGCACTTTGGGAGGCTAAGTCGGGCGAATCATGAGGTCAGAGGATGGAGACTATCCTGGCTAACATGCTGAAACCCCATCTCCGGCTGGGTGCGGTGGCTCATGCCTGTAATCCTAGCACTTTTGGAGGCCGAGACAGGCAGATCACGAGGTCAGGAGATCGAGACCATCCTGGCTAACACAGTGAAACCCCGTCTCTACTAAAAATACAAAAAATTAGCCGGGTGTGGTGGCTGGCGCCTAGAGTCCCAGATACTCGGGAGGTTGAGGCAGGAGAATGGAACCTGGCAGGCAGAGCCTGCAGTGGGCCAAGATCTCGCCACTGCATTCCAGCCTGGGCTTCAGACTCCATCTCCAAAAAAACAAAAACAAAAACAAAAACAAAAAACAAAGAAACCCCGTCTCTACTAAAAATACAAAAAATTAGCTGGGCATGGTGGCATGTGCCTGTAGTCCCAGCTACTCGGGAGGCTGAGGCAGGAGAATCACTTGAACCCGGGAGGTGGAGGTTGCAGAGAGCCGAGATTATGCCACTGCACTCCAGCCTGGGCAACAGAGTGAGACTCCGTCTCAAAAAAAAAAAAAAGTATATGTTCCACAGTACCAAGCTAAGTGATGTTCATGTCTACAGAGGAAAGCTGAAATGAACCTCTGCCCTCCACAATTACTGCATTCCTGAAAAGTGCAGAAATCAATACTTGACCATAGGAGTCTGCCTTTTTTTTTTGAGACAGAGTCTCGCTCTATCGCCCAGGCTGGAGTGCAGTGGCACCATCTCGGCTCACTGCAAGCTCCGCCTCCTGGGTTCACTCCATTCTCCTGCCTCAGCCTCCTGAGTAGCTGGGACTACAGGCGCCCGCCACCATGCCCGGCTAATTTTTTGTATTTTTATTAGAGACGGGGTTTCACTGTGTTAGCCAGGATGGTCTCGCTCTCCTGACCTCATGATCTGCCAGCCTCGGCCTCCCAAAGTGCTGAGATTACAGGCGTGAGCCACCGTGCCCAGCCTAGAGTCTGCCTTTCAAACTGAAACACCCTGACTTATATATATCACTTCAGAGGCAATTTATCCGACTTGATGGATGTTTAGTTGTCAGCTGACTCCTACCTTTCTACCTTGAAATTTCTCCACTCTGTGGCCTTTCTATAAAGAAAGAGGCAAAATAGTGTATAGGAAAGAGCCCTGAACCAAACCAAAGACCTCGATTCTGATTCGGGCTGTGCTACAGACTAGCTGAGTATGCTTGGATAAGTCACTTAACCTCTCTAGGCTTCAGTTCCTTCAATTCTCTGCAAAATGAAAAGAACAGACTGGATAATCTTTTTTTTTTTTTGAGATGGAGTCTTGTTCTGTTGCCCAGGCTGGAGTGCAGTGGCGCGATCTTGGCTCACTGCAACCTCCACCTCTGGGGTTCAAGCTATTCTCCTGCCTCAGCCTCCCAAGTAGGTGGGACTACAGGGACCTGCCACCACACCTAGCTAATTTTTTTTTTTTTGAGATGGAGTCTCACTCTGTTGTCCAGGCTGGAGTGCAGTGGCACGATCTCAGCTCACTGCAAGTTCCGCCTCCCAGGTTCACGCCATTCCCCTGCCTCAGCTGCAGCTGGGACCACAGGTGCCCACCAACACGCCCGGCTAATTTTTTTGTATTTTTAGTAGAGATGGGGTTTCGCTGTGTTAGCCAGGATGGTCTTGATCTCCTGACCTCGCGATCCGCCCGCCTCGGCCTCCCAAAGTGCTGGGATTACAGGCGTGAGCTACCGCGCCCGGCCTCACCTTAGTTATTTTTGTATTTTTAGTAAAGACAGGATTTCACCATGTTGGCCAGTCTGGTCTCAAACTCCTGGCCTCAAGTGATCCGCCTGCCTCGGCCTCCCAAGGTACTGGGATTACAGGCATGAGCCACCATGCCCCAGCCTGTTTGTTTTTTCATCTGAAAGATGGAATGAGAACAGGTGCAGTGACTCATGCGTGTATCCCAGCACTTTGGGAGGCCAAGGCAAGAGGATCACTTGAGCCCAGGGATTCCAGACCAGCCTGGGCAACATGGTGAGACTCCCTCTCACACCTATAATCTCAGCGCTTTGAGAGGCCAAGGGAGGAGAATTGCTTGAGGCCGGGAGTTGGAGACCAGCCTGGGCAACATGGTAAGACCCCATCTCTGGAAAAATAAAAAAAGATTTTTTAAATTAGCCAGGCATCGTGGCACACACCTGTGGTCCCAGCTACTCAGGAGGCTGAGGTGGGAGGATCGCTTGAGCCCAGGAGGTCAAGGCTGCAGTGAGCCATGTTTGTGCAACTGCACTCCAACCTGGGTGACAGAGTGAGACCCTGTCTCAATTTAAAAAAAAATGGCTGGGCGCAGTGGCTCATGCCTGTAACCCTACCACTTTGGGAGGCTGAGATGGGTGGATTGCTTGAGCCCAGCAATTTGAGACCAGCCTGGGGAACATGGTGAAACCCTGTCTCTATTTAAAAAAAAAAAATGTATCTGGGTGTAGTGATGCATGTCTGTAATCCCACCTACTCAGGAGGCTAAGGCAGGAGGATCGCCTGAGCCCAGGAGCCAGGAGTTGGAGGCTGCAGTGAGCTACGATTGCACCACTGTACTCCAGCCTGGGTGACAGGGTGAGACCCCGTCTCAAAAAATAAAAATAAAAACAAAAGATGAGGTGAAGCTCTGTTGTGTGAGATTAAATGGGATAATGTGTAAAAGGTGCCTGATGGCCAGGCACGGTGGCTCACGCCTGTAATCTCAGCACTTTGGGAGGCCAAGGCAGGCGGATCACGAGGTCAGGAGTTTGAAACCAGCCTGGCCAACATGGTGAAACCCTGTCTCTACCAAAAATACAAAAAAATTAGCTGGGCGTGGTGGCGGGCGCCTGTAATCCCTGCTACTCAGGAGGCTGAGGCAGGAGAATCTCTTGAAATCGTAAGGCAGAGGTTGCAGTGAGCTGAGATCACGCCACTGCACTCCAGCCTGGGCAGCAAGAGCAAAACTCCGTCTCAAAAATAAATAAATAAAATTAAATAAATAAATAAATAAATAAAAGGTGCCTGACATGGGGAAGGGGCACGACAAATGTTCGGCCGAGGATGCTCCTAAATAAATATTCATTTCAACACAAGAGCTCCTCTCTAAAGAGTAACTTCCCTTACATAGTTTTTTGCAAAATGAGGACTTCTAATTTTCAGCCCAACAAAATCCAGATTTTATGTGATAAAGTTTTGACAGTTCAGTTATGAAGTTTTCTGTTGACTCAGGATTAATTTGGCTACAAGATTCTTTTGGTTTCAACCCTTGGCACTGAAAATCATTCTGCAGGCCCGGCGCAGTGCCTCACGCCTGTAATCCCAGCACTTTGGGAGGTGAGGCAGGTGGATCACCTGAGGTCAGGAGTTCGAGACCAGCCTGGCCAACTTGGTGAAACCCCATCTCTACTAAAAATATAAAAATTAGCAGGGCGTGGTGGCTCACGCCTGTAATCCCAGCACTTTGGGAGGCCGAGGTGGGCGGATCACAAGGTCAGGAGATCGAGACCATGCTGGCTAACACGGTGAAACCCCGTCTCTAGTAAAAATACAAAATATTAGCCGGGCGTGGTGGCGGGCACCTGTAGTCCCAGCTACTCGCGGGGGAGGGGGGCGGGCGGAGGGGAGGCTGAGGCAGGAGAATGGCATGAACCCGGGAGGCGGAGCTTGCAGTGAGCCGAGATCGTGCCGCTGCACTCTAGCCTGGGTGACAGAGCGAGACTCCATCTCAAAAAAAACAAAAAAAAAGAAAGAAAAGAAAATCATTCTAAACTCTGAATCCGGCTGGGTGTGATGGCTCACGCCTGTAATCCCAGCATTTTGGGAGGCCAAGGTGGGCGGATCACTTGAGGTCAGGAGTTCGAGACCAGCCTGGCCAACATGGTGAAACCCCGTCTCTACTAAAAATACAAAAATTAGCCAGGTGTGGTGGTGCACGCCTGTAGTCCCAGCTACTCGGGAGGCTGAGGCATGAGAAACGTATGAACCCAGGAGGTGGAGGCTGCAGCGAGCTGAGATTGAGCCACTGCACTCCAGCCTGGGTGGCAGAGTGAGACTCTGTCTCAGAAAAAAAAAAAAAAAAAAAAAGATGAGGTTTTGCTATGTTACCCAGGCCAGTGTTGAACGCCTGGGCCCAAGCCTCAGCCTCCCAAAGTGCTGGAATTACAGGAATCAACCAACTCGCCTGACACTGGATTTGCTTTTTTTATTTTTTCGAAACAGTCTTGCTCTGTCTCCCAGGCTAGAGTGCAGTGGTGCAATCTCAGCTCCCTGTAACCTCCACCTCCTGAGTTCAAATGATTCTCCTGCCTCAGCCTCCCGAGTAGCTGGCGTTACAGGCGCCTGCCACCACGCCCAGCTAATTTTTATACTTTTAGTAGAGATGAGGGTTCACCATGTTGGCCAGGCTGGTCTCGAACCCCTGACCTCAAGTGATCCACCAGCCTCAGCCTCCCAAAGTGCTGGGATTACAGGCATGAGCCACTGCACCCAGCCAGGAGTTGCTTTTTGATTATAGAGGGTATCAGGACACGTCAGGGTGGAAACTTTCCCAAGGCAAAGCCTCCACAATCTAGCATCGAATTGTAAATCAGGACACCATTGGAGCCAAAAAGTAACTCAAAGTAACCACGCTCATAAGAGATTGATGCAACTAATGCAATTATTTGCATAGCAATTTATTAATTTATAATCAGGATAGTGTTTCAAGGCCATAAAATATCAATGTATCCCATCCAGAAAAGCCCCTTCCCTGTCCTGGAGGACAAAGAAATCATTAGCAAGTAGCTTGGTAGACATGGAGTCCGTCTTGAGGACCATTTCCCTGGGCCACGGTAAAGTCTGGCGAAGCACCACTGTGCTAAGCAGACTCCTACCAAATGGAGCATCTGGCAATCTCTGCTTTTTTTTTTTTTAACCTCTGCATTTTTGAACGTCCTTTTTTTAGGGTCTTAATTGACCATTCTTCTTTGATTCACATCATCTTTATGTTGCCCACACTCCAATTCTCTGCCTACTTACTCAGTTGTAATCACAATCCAGTCCTGCCTTCCTCAAGTTTCACTGGCTCACCATGGTAGCAATTCGTGTGTGGTCCCAAATTCTTCCAAGCGTCCACTACATCCTGCCCCACCTGGGAGCTGACCTCACTCTTCCTGTATGGGCTTGACTAGTTAATCCACAGAAACAGCCATGTTTCCCTAATGGTCAAGTTCTTGGGCAGCCTTCATAGACACTATCTATCTATCTATCTGTCTATTTATTTATTTATTTATTTTTTAAGACGGAGTCTTGCTCTGTCACCCAGGCTGGAGTGCAGTGGCACGATCTTGGCTCACTGCAAGCTCCGCCTCCCGGGTTCATGCCATTCTCCTGCCTCAGCCTCCTGAGTAGCTGGGACTACAGGCGCCCGCCACCACGCCCGGCTAATTTTTTTTATTTTTAGTAGAGATGGGATTTCACCTGCCTCGGTCCCCCAAAGTGCTGGGATTACAGGCGTGAGCCACCACGCCCGGCCTCATAGACACTATCAAGTATTACCAAAAGGGACACTCACTCAAACCATCATGAATGTATACCAGTGGCCAAAGAAAAGGTGTATGACTTAGAATCAATTCATATCAACCTCAACAGATATTTAAGGAATAGATTCCTCACATGAGTTTGTCATATTTCTTTTTCTTTAAAAACTCAAGGCAGACAACATTTTTGTTAATCAAGGCATTCAGTTAAGATGGCAAATTGAGTTTTGCAGATATGACTTTTTTTTTTAATTAAAAATTTTTTTTTGGCCGGGTGTGTTGGCTCACGCATATAATCCCAGTAGTTTGGGAGCCCAAGGTGGGCGGATCACCTGAGGTCAGGAGTTTGAGACCAGCCTGGCCAATATGGTGAAATCCTGTCTCTACTAAAAACACAAAAATTAGCCGAGTGTGGTGGTGGGTACCTGTAATCCCAGCTACTAGGGAGGCTGAGGCAGGAGAATCACTTGAGTCCAGGAGGTGGAGGTTGCAGTGAGCCAAGATTGTGCCACTGCATTCCAGCCTGGGCAGCAAGAATGAAACTGTCTCAAAAAAAAAAAAAAAAAAAGAAGAAAAGAAAGAAAAAAGAAAATTTTTTTTTTTTGTAGAGAGGAGGTCTCAATATGTTGCCCAGACTGGTCTTGAACTCCTGAGCTCAACCACTCCTCCTACCTCGGCCTCCCAAAGTGCTGGGATTACAGGCGTGAGCCACCATGCCCAGCCAGCAAACATGACTTCTAGAAGTACAGACTCTGACAAAATTCTGCATTGTTTCTCTAGCTCACTATCTATACCTTTGCCTCTTGGGTTTTTATCTAATTACATTTAAATGCTCTGCTCTTATTTTCTGCTTGTGTTTAGCTCCTTCCAACTGTGTTTTCCTCAGTCTCGATGTATTTTCATCCTTTGCGCCTGTTTTTATGACTCTATGATGGAGACTTCTCACAATCCCTCTCATTTTTTTTTCACACCTGTATTTTTCCTCCTCTTTTCATTTCTGGGTTCCTGCCTCTTCTTTGTTCTTTGGATATTCAATTTTTTTTTTTGAGACGGAGTCTCACTCTGTCACCCCTGCTGGACTGCAGTGGCACTATCTCGGCTCATTATAACAACCTCGGCCTCCCAGGTTCAAACGATTCTCCTGCCTCAGCCTCCTCAGTAGCCGGGATTACGGGCGCCTGCCACCACGCCCGGCCAATTTTTTGTATTTTTAGTAGAGATGGTGTTTCACCATGTTAGCCAGGATGGTCATCTCCTGACCTCGTGATCCGCCTGCCTCGGCCTCCCAAAATGCTGGGATTACAGGCGTGACCCACCATGCCCAGCCTGGATATTTAAATTGTTCTGTGCTCTCCTCCTTTTTTTTCTCTCTGTGATTCTCTTTGTCAGCTCCTTTGCCTATATTTGCATCTCAGTTGACACCCCTGATTCTGACTTGTCCTTATCTTCCTACCAGTCTCTGCCGACCGGTTACTGTCAGCCTGTCTTTAGGGTTTGCGCTGCAGCTGTTTGTCCTTTGTCTTTCTGCCTGCCTCCAAGTCCCCATATCTCCTGGTCTCTTCTGTCAGTGAATCTTCCCACTGACTGCCTCCTCCGCCTTCTGCTTCTCAGCTCCCCGGACTCGTCCCCGCTCTTCTCTGTTCCCACCTCTCCTCTTGCTCTTCTGATCTCTCTATCTGCCAGTATTTCCTCCATCACTCCTGAGCCTGGGTGTTTCTCCTTGTCACTCACTCTATTTCACTGTCTAGACTCTCTGTGCCTTTCAGCCTTGGGGTCTCTTCTTGTCGGCCTTCATTTCTATTTTTCTGGTCCTTTTTGTTTATAACCCTTTTATCAGTTCTGTGACTTTGGTGTCTCTCAGGATCTATGACAGCCTTTCTCCATATTTCTGCTAGGGCCTGTCTCTTTTGCCCTCCATCCTTCTTTGCCTCTGTCACCTCTATGTGAATAATCCTTCTCTCTTTCTATCTATCACTCAATCTATGTATGTCTGTCTCTGTCATTCTTCGTATCTTTCTGTACCTCCGCTTCTTAGCAAGGTTTTTGTTTTGTTTTGTTTTTTTTTGAAGACAATCTTCCTGTCTCTTGCTTTTGCTCATGTAGCTTTTCTGTGGATGGCTAAGGGTTGCCTCTCTCAGTCCATTGTTTAGTGGAACAGCAGACTTAATCTGCTGGGCACTTCCCGTCACCTCGATGTTCTGGGAAGGAAGGGGTCTTGTTCAACAGAAAAAAACGCAGCAGAAGCAGCAGGGAGGAAGAAGACTTTATGAATGTATCTCAGAAAAGTCCCAGCTCTTCCTTTTTTTTTTTTCTTTAGAGACAAGAGTCTCACTCTGTTTGCCCAGGCTGGAGTGCAGTGGCACGACCTCGGCTCACTGCAACCTCTGCCTCCTGGGTTCAAGCGATTCTCCTGCCTCAGCCTCCTGAGTAGCTGGGATTACAGGCATGCACCACCATGCCCGGCTAATTTTGTATTTTTAGTAGAGACAGGGTTTCACCATGTTGACCAGGCTGGTCTTGAACTCCTGACCTCAGGTGATCCTCCCGCCTCGGCCTCCCAAAGTGCTGGGATTACAGGCGTGAGCTGCTGCGCCCAGCCAGAGGGCCAGCTATTCCTTTATCCTCCTGCAGCCTTCTCTCACACAGTCTACCTCTGCCCTTGTTCTTCCATGAAAGCCTGGGCCTGGGAAAACTCTGTACTGGGCACCTTTCCTTCTGTAATTCTAGACTTCAGTGCCGTCCTAAGAAGACAAACCAGCCCTGTGTTCATTCCTCTAAGAATCCGAATTGTCTTTGAAAAGTCAAAAGGGGTCGGGTACGGTGGCTCACGTCTGTAATCCCAGCACTTTGGGAGGCTGAGGTGGGTGGATCACTTGAGTGCAAAAGTTTGAGACCAGCCTGGGCAACATGGCAAAACCTGGTCTCTACAAAAAAATACAAAAATTAGCCTGGTGCAGTGGCGTGCACCTGTAGTCCCAGCTACTTGGGAGGCTGAGGTGGGAGGCAGGAGAATTGCTTGAGCCTGGGAGGCAGAGATTGCAGTGAGCCAAGATCAAGCCACTGCACTCCATCCTGGGCAACAGAGCAAGAACTTGTCTCAAAAAAAAAAAAAAAAAAAGAAAAGAAAAAAGAAAAGTCAAAAGATACTAAAAATAAAAATAAAAATAAAAGGCTAGACACAGCAGGACCAGGGTTAAGGAGAAAAACAGGAGTGTGCGCCTGTTCTCACGTCTGTAATCCCAGCACTCTGGGAGGCCGAGGCAGGTGGATTACTTGAGGTCAGGAGTTCGAGACCAGCCTGGGCAACATGGTGAAACCTCCTCTCCACCAAAAAATACAAAAATTAGCTGGGCTTGGTGGTGCATGCCTGAAGTCACAGCTACTCGGGAGGCTAAGGCAGGACAATCACTTGAACCCAGGAGGCTGAGGTTGCAGTGAGCCGAAATCGTGCCACTACACTCCAGCCTGGGTGACAGAGTAAGATTCCGTCTCATAAAAAAAAAGAAAAAGAAAAAGAAAAACAGGAGTGTGGCTTTGAGAACCAGAAACATCAGCAGCAATTGCTGTGGCCCAGGTTCTGTCTCTTGGCAACTATCACGTCCATCTCTGCTGCTACAGATAGCACCTCCTCTACCTTCCTCCCACTGCCAGAATTTGGTTATAGGTGAGATCTCTTTTCTCTCTGTCCCCACCCGCCCCATACCAGATCTCTCTGATCCTAGTGGGACTTCACCTTCCCCCATCTGTCCCTGGGTTAAAGCAAAGAGCTTCTGTCTCCACTGGCAGTTTCTTCCAGCTGCATGCCTCCTGCCACCCTTTACTGATAGCTCTAGCTGTACCTCTTGAGTTTATTTGCTGGAAAGGATGCTCATCTGATGACGGATTTCAGTGAACAGAAACCCAGGTTCCCACCCATCCAACATCAGCATTTCTTCTTAGATCCGAGGAAGGGGAAGGGATGTGAGTTAGCTGGAAGAGAAACTGAGATTCTGATGAGCAAGTCTGGCCCTCACCCTGATGGGGGACTGTGCATGGAAGACCCTCATCTCCTTGTCCTGGCCCCACCTCCCCCAGCGAGGGGCCCATGGCTTCTCTCTAGTCTTTCAGGCTGAGAGTCGAACTGTTGCTGGTGACAGGTCCATTGTCACGACGTGTCCTGGTCCCCCTGGTTTTCTCATGGCCAGGGCTGGGTGGATGGGGTCGAGACTGTAGGACATCATTGACCAGAATACGGATCCCCAATATGATGCTCATGATGCCCACAGTGACCAGCCCAATTCCACCCAGGGTGACCAGAGCAAGAGGAACCTGGTGGTGCTGCCGGAACAGCCACAGACTCATCCACCCCAGCGGGACCAGGCGGAAGAGGGCCAAGGTGGCCAAGGAGGCCCAGCTGGTCACGCTGAAGGCCAGGGATGGGGCCTGGCGAGAAAGCAACAGCAGCTTCCGCAGGTGCAAGCAGGCAGAGTTCAGTTCCAGGAGCAGAGACACCATGGAGAAGCCCACGTAGTGGCCAGACAGAACAGCGGTGCTGAGGCAGCTCACCACCTGGGAGCCAGGGTCACAGGTCAGAGGAACCCCATGACCTGCCAGCCATCATGTCCCAATAACCCAGGCCTGAAGAAAGAGGCTTCCACGCAGTCTGTGGGGCTCCCCAAACACCTGACCTTTATGCTTTTACCTTTATCCTGGGGCCCTGAGCAGCCTTGAAACAACCCTTCCATAGATGGAACCAGGCTTGGCCCAGGGAGGGGCTGTCTCACCCCCTAATACCCCCTTAACCTCCCATTCCTGGGCTTGCTTGCTTTTTTTTTTTTTTTTTTTTTTTTTCGAGACAGACTCTCACTCTGCCACCAGGCTGGAGTGCAGTGGTGTGATCTTGGCTCACTGCAACCTCTGCCTCCTGGGTTCAAGCAATTCTCCTGCCTCAGCTTCCAGAGTAGCTGGGACTACCGGTGCGCGCCACCACACCCAGGTAATTTTTGTATTTTTAGTAGAGACGGGGTTTCACTGTTAGTCAGGATGGTCTCGATCTCCTGACCTCGTGATCCACCCGCCTCGGCCTCCCAGTGTGCTGGGATTATAGGCATAAGCCACCGTGCCTGGCCTAGGGCTTTCATGCCCCATACCCACACCCTATACCAGGACACCCCCTTCTCAGAAAAGCTCCATATTCCACATTTCTGTGATCAGCTGGACACCTGTGGGGGCACCCAAACTCCTTAGGCTCACATGGTGGGTGCCCTGGCATGGTGGGTGCCCTTGTATGGTGAGTGCCCTGGCATGGTAGGTGCCCTGGCCTGGTGGGTATCTGGACTCCCCAGCTGTGGCCAGCAGCCACCTCCTCCCCCTAACTCAGCCTAAGACTGGGAGCCAAGCACCAGCTGGGGGCAGAGACTGTGGGAAATTATAGGACAGCAAAATGAAGAGAGGGCCGGGGGCGGTGGCTCATGCTTGTAATCCCAGCACTTTGGAAGGCTGAAGTGGGCGGATCACCTGAGGTCAGAAGTTCGAGACCAGCCTGGCCAACATGGAGAAACCCCGTCTTTACTAAAAATACAAAAAATTACTTGGGCGTGGTGGCGGGTGCCTGTAATCCCAGCTACGTGGGAGGCTGAGGCAGGAGAATTGCTTGAACCCAGGAGGCGAAGGTTGCAGTGAACAGAGGCCGAACCACTGGACCCCAGCCTGGGTGACAGAGTGAGACTCCGTCTCAAAAAAAAAAAAAAAAAAAAAAAAAAAGAATGAGGAGAGACTGGGAACCTCGGGCTGGACAGGGCTCCCCTCCTCCCTTCCTGTCTGGCTTCTGCCCTCAGAGTCTCACCACCAAATGATGACAGAGAAGATCCCAGGTCTTGCCCAAGGTCTGGTTCCACAGCAGGTCAGCTCCGTCTGCCAGGAAGTAACCTGTGGGCATGGGGGTAGGGGTTAGGCTGCTCCAGAGCCCGGGCAGCTTAGAGAGGATTTCCAGCCCCCCCGCCCCGCCCCTCTCCCAGTTCTTAGTTTTCCCTTGGTAAAGCCTTCAGGAACGTTTAACCCCCATGGGGGCGGGGAATGGACCTGGAAGGACAGCAGAACCTGCCCCCCGCCCCATCCCCACCACCGGCCCAGCCTTCCCTGCAGACTCACCCACAGACACAGCCACCAGCACCAGAGCCCAGCGCGGGTGGCCATGGATGGGGTCGGCGGCCATCTGAGGGTACAGTGACAGGCTGGGGGCATGGGGTGGGGACATGGGGGGGGGCATGGTCAGCCTCTCGAGGCCCCGGCCGCAGTCTCCCTGTGCGCACCCCCACCCCAGTCTCAGCTCTGGAGACGCCCGGCGGGTCTCCCGGCCTCAGCCTCCCACCCCTCGCCCTCGCCCCGTGCGCCTCGAGCCCCCAAGCCCGCACCCGAGCAGCGCCCCGGTCCCCGAGAGCAGGCTGTGCGCCAGGGAGACGCAGAGGTTCCACCACTGCCAGCGGTCCCGAGCGGCCGATTCCGGCGTGGGCAGCCGCCGCAACCCCCAGTGCAGCCCCCGGAACGCGAGGAAGGAGGCGCCGGCCACCAGGAGCCCCGTGGGCGCCATGGCCTGGCGGTTGGGGGGTTGCGGGGAGTCCGGGTCGGTCCCCTCGGCGCCCGCGCTCTCGGCCGGGACTGGGAACCCGTTTCCCGGCAGGGCTGGGGCCCCGGCTCCCCTCCCCGCCGCGCCTTTGGGATCAGCAGGAACTTTTCCCCGTTCGTCCACGCCCAGTCCCTCGCCTGGGCGGTGATTGGAGCAGCCGCGGGGCCGCCGCCCCCGGAGCCTTGGCCACCGATTGCGTCTTGCTCCAGCCGGGGGAGCGGTTCGGGGGCTCCGGGCAGTAGACCATGCCCTGGAGCTCGGGGGGCCTCCGGGATGTTCGCCAATAGGGGTCCTCCCCAGCTCCAAGCGTCCTGAAGCGCTGGAGTTGCAGACCTGGGTCTCCAGTCTAACCTCAACTGACACTCCCGGGCCCCACCCACGAACCTTGACCTCTTCCCGGCTCCCGCGACTTTCACCTGCTGAGCGTCATCACCACCCACCGCCACACCCTGCAAGGCAGAGGCTAGCGCAGCCCACTCGTACCTGCCCGAGCCTGGCCGCCGCCCCCACTTCCCTCCCCGCGTCCGTGGTGGGGACGGGGTGCCCCACTTTCTTGGAGCCACCCCTTCGGCCTCCTGAGGTTTCCACGCCTTTACCATATCCCGGCAAACCTGTAATTCCAGCAGTTCTGCTCCCCCTCCCCCACAACCCCCAGGAGACCCCATGTTGGAGAAGCGACCCACTGGGCCCCGCCCCGACCCCCAGCATTGTTTTCGGCCCTACGGAGGAGCCTCATTAGGAAGAGGACGCAAAAGGGAATCGCTGGCCCCCAGTCTTGAAAAGCACTTCCTTCCCCAAGGGCTTGGTACCCGTTGGGTGGGTAGAATATCTTCAATCCGAGGGCAAGGAAAGGTAACACAGGGTCCCTTCAAGGCTGGGACAGAGTCAGAAGAGAAAAACAGACCTGTCCTGCTCTTAGTAGCAGGGCGGTTAGGATTCCAGAACCCTCCAGCCTTAAGAGGAAGAGCCTCCCCCAGCCCCTCACCACCTGAAGAGCCCCAGGTTGCACTGCTTTCCTTCCACCTTACTCCACTCCACCTCTTCAGCTGGCAGACAGTCAGCAAGTCAGAGCTGTTTCCTGCAGGCTGAGAGGGAGGATTCCAGCTACTTCAAAGAATTAAGTTCATAAACCAAGAGGTGCCCCAACCAAACCTTCTCACCAAAAAGCTGAGGTCTTCCCTTCATTCTTCTACCCCCACCTCTCCAAAGGTTTAAATAATAACACTGATCTCTTAAATTATATTATATGAAATACAAAATGTGGAAAATTTGGAAATTACAGAAAAACCAAAGATGAAAATTACAGTGACTTTGTTCCACCATACAAAGATAACCACTCAACATTTTTTAGTATGCCTTCCGTCTTTTTTATCTGCTCTACGTATACAAGCATACACCCATATTTTAAAAAACAAAATTGAAATCACATAACATGCACTATTTTTACAACCTTTTAATATTCAAGGAGCATTTTTCTTTCAGTCAGATGTTCTTTTACATGACTTTTAATGTCTGCGCGGTACTCCACCATCTGGATGGAGATACAATAATTTACTTAAGCAATCCCCTATTGCAAACTTTCGTTACAGCAGAAAAGGAATAAATTCCCAACCAAACCATTGCTTCCCATTTTTCTCCATTGCAATGCTGGGATGAACATCTTATCACTAACTAAATCCTTAAGTATTTTCTTAGGATAAATTCCCAAAGATAGAATTCGTAGGTCAAATGACATGGAGGCTTTTAGGCCACATGACACATATCACCCAACTGTCATCCAGGAAGCCTGCACCGATGTATACTCCCACACGCAATGTATGGGAATGTTTTTTCAGTAGTCTCTTTGCCAATATTGGGTCTTATTTTTTTCTGTTATGGTTTGCTAAGGGAAAAATGCTTCCAGCTCTATTTGCCTTTCTTTAATTACTAATGAAGCATACTTTTTTTCATGGTTTTATCCATTCAGATTTCTTTTATGAATTTCCTGTGTGTGTCCTTTCGCAGATGGTTCTTGGTCCTTGAGGCTGCTTATATAAACATTACAGGCTGGGCGGAGGTGGAAGTAGGGCGGTGAAGCCACAGGGCACCGCACTATGGTGCCACATCTCGGAGGCAGAAAGCCTGGAGAGAAATGGTGATCAAAGTAGGAGAGGGCTGGAGGCTCGCCGTCAATGGAGGCTGGCTGCCCTCCCTCCTCTTGGGGTGCTCCTGGCCTTTAGGGGCTCCTCTGCTGGATGCCCAGGTAGGACCCTGTGCTCTCCAGGCCTGGTCCTTCACTGGTCTCCATATTCCCAGGCTGCCTCTCCTCACCTCTGCTCCATGATGGGTGAAGATGGCAGAGGCACATAGCGAGGGCTGGAGGGAGATGCTGTGGCCAGTGAAGCAAGGAGAAAGTACGGAGGCAGTGTCCAGGGACAGAGTCACCTTTGTTGCAGCCTATGAGTCTATCCCCTGCTTCTCTACCACTGTCCCACACGCATCCTGCCCCTCAGCTTGGCTGCAGAAGAGCAGGGTTCCACGGTCTACTCTTCTCCACATCCTTGAGTTTTTCACAAGCGGAGGACAAGATACAGCTCCCTGCACATCTCCTCCCACCAAATCGAACAGACACAGCTTCCTGTAGCCGCTAGGTGAGAATGGATCAGGGCTGGAGGTGGCAGGTTTACACTCACTGCCTGATATCTGGAAGGAGGTCACATCCCACAACCCACCTCCCCTACTTGCTGCAGGGGAGAATTTCCTGTCTGCACAGGCCTGAGCTGGGGATCACATACCACCTTGGAAAGCAAAGTGAGGAAAGAAACAGAGTAGCAGCAGTTAGAATCCCACCAAGGGGCTGCTGTCCTGCTTTGGATATCAGGGGAAGCCTTGGGCCACCCTTGCATGGGGGGAAGTCACGGAGAGGCGAGCTCTTACTAGCTCCTCGCATTGGTCTAACTCTAACCCCCTCCTCCAGCTTCCCATTCCCCACCCAGCTTCTGGGTGATGGTATCAGGGATGGGGGAGGGACAACAGCTTCTGTGAAAAGGTGTTTTGTTTCCACCCACAGCAGGGGGAGAGCCCGGGTTCTGAGTCAACCCAGATGGGCTTCTGATTCCCTCATGCACACTCATCTGTGTGACTGCCCATCTCACAGGTGGAGAAACTGAGACAGGAGGTCTAAGGGTCTCAGATACAGGTAAGTGCCCAGGAATCTAGAGTCTGGGCCAGCCTAAGGAAATGCAGGGAAAAGTAAGAGCAGAAGGATGACTCCTCACGCCTGGGTTTAGTATCACTTTTCCCTGAAGAGTGAGCTTACTTTTGGACCTCATCTGGAAAGGCCAGTGGGGAAGAATGAAAGATACGGAAGGAGGGTCAAGAAGGAAGTCGGGGAGACAGAGTGTTCTCTCCACTTCTTCCCACTGTCACACAAAGACCAACTAACCTTGGGTTGTTTGAGCCTTCTACTCCTCAATCCAGCCAGTGTCTCTAATCTAAAACCGCTCCTTGCTGGGCCAATCTGGGCAAAGGCTCTCCAACTTGCCCAAAACGTATCATCCACCCTGCTGTTCGGACCTTCCCAGCCCATTTCTGTCACCTTCCAGATGATGGGGAAAGCAGCTCCTCCTCCTCCTCGAAGCCAGGGGCAGAGGGCAACAGTTCTTCAACTGGCAGCTTTAGCTGGGTCAGGACATAAAGCTTGCCACTGAAGAACTACTGCGGCTCAGCCAGGTGAGGGCGTGAGAGGAACAGGCTCCTAAGGGAAAGGGAGGGAAAATGGGAAAGATCTGAGCAGGGCATGTTGCTGCAACGCTGACCCACTCGCTGGCCATCAGGGTCCTGCCCCAGTAGACCTCTGAGATTCTAATGCAGGGCTGCAGCTCTGATCTGGGCCCGCGGAAGCTGTTAACCTCGCTGAGCAGCAAGAGGTGGCTGTAAACAGACTTCCCTTGCTCTTCTTTCCAGAACTGGAGTCTAGAGAAACCCAGTCCTGCTCTCACCCTCCCCTGCCCTAGCGGCCCCTGGGGGCCCAGCCTCCTCAGCATTCAGACAGGGTGGGGCCCGGGACCCTGGACACACCCCACCAGCACGCAGGTACTAGAAGTGTGGTACCTCAGGTCCAGAAATGTGAGTTCAGTGATCAGCCCAACTGACTTGTTCCCAGGGAGTTCAGCTGGAAGGAGAGTTCTGGGGGCCTGGATTGGGGAAGAGTGAGGAAGGGAGGAGGCCTAGCGTTTGAAAGAAGGTCAGCAGAGGCCCCCGGGGCTGTGAGGGGCGGACAGGGGACCACAGGCTGGAGAGGAGGGAGGTATCGGCAGGGTGGCCGGGGCTGTGAGGGGCGGGCAGGGGACCACAGGCTGGAGGGGAGGGAGGTATGGGCAGGGTGGCTGGGCAGCTTCCCCAGGACTCTCAGATGCCAGGCATTCCGCTTGCGCATTCCGGGTACATCTGGTATGAATTCCAGGCTGTCTGCCGGCCCCTCCATGTCTGAACTTTGTTCCAAGTTCCAAGCCCCGCCCCCACAGTTCCAACGCATGAATCAGCAGGAAAAGCCGGGCCCTGCAGCATGGCCCAGGGAGGGGGCTGGGGGCGTGGCAGGCTCGGGGGATGTGAGCTGGGGAGGGCGGGTCCGTGCTGACACTCAGTCCAAGGGCATGGCCCACGCCAGGCTGAGGGGCCAAGGCGGTCTTGCCTTGGAATTTCTATACTCAGAGGGTAAGAAAGATTGGGGGATACGGGGTGCGGTTCAAATTCCGAAACCCTCTTGGGAGGCATGAACTTTGTGTATCTTCCTTCCCCTGGGTGACCAGTCCAACTCCGTCCGACCTTCCTCTGTCTGAGATAGCTCTGTTCAACCCAGAGGACTCAGCAGCTGCTGAGAGTCTGTGCCAAGCAGGTGCCCTTGGCTGCAGGGCGGGGTGGGCCCAGGGCACTGACCCTCTGACCAGCTGCTCCATCAACCCTCTGGCACTCTGACAGCTCCTAGCCCAATCTGACAGCCAGGATGACAGGCCAAAGGAGTTGGAGGCTGGAACCAGGGCCGGAGGGAGGTGGGGGTGACAGCCTCGCCGGAGGCCATGGGGAGGGGCCAAGAGTTGGCCGAGAGGTGGGGAGAGAGGCAGCCCAGTGATGACTAACCCAGGCGCCCCACCCAGCCAGCCGGCTTCCCAGGCAGTCAGGGCCAGGCCTGGGCTAGGGGCCTCACAATCGGACAGGCTGGGGGGAGGTGCAGAGGTGACCTTCTCTCGGCCCAAGACGGCCAGTTAGTCTGGGGAGCGGGGGTTAGAGTTTCCAGGCCCTCCTCTTGCCCTCTTCCCCCCGCCCAACCACGGTGAAACCCTAACCTTTGGGTTGCATAAGGCCCCGGCACCGCCGCCCCCTACTCCTCTCCCCTCCCCCCTTACATAACATCCCCTGGAGAGAACGAGAGGAGGGGCCGGCCCGCCCAGCGACCCCTTCCCTGCCAGGGCGCTGAACTGGCCCTGACCCAGTGAACGCCGGCAGAGGCAAAGCACCTCCTCGCCGCCCGCTCGGGGGGTCCAGACCCTCCCCAGGCTAGATGGCCGGCCCCTGTATCCTCAGACCGGGGGCCGCCGGGTGAGCCGCCCCCGGCCCTCCGGCCCCTCGGCTCTCCCCCCGCCCCCCGCCACTCCGCCAGCCCTTCCGCCACGACTCCCGTCCCAGACTCTTTCCTCGTAGCTCCTGACACACTAACCCGGCCAGTCCAGGCCCCTCTCCCCGAGGCGCCCCTGCCCCCGCCGCCCCTTCTCCTCCCGGAAGGGCTGGGTGTGGCCGCCCGGACCCCACTTTCACCCTCCATCCCGTTACCGCGGCTCCCCGCTGCGTGACCGGGTCGCCAGCTCACACCCACCTGGTGCTGGGTGTGGGGGTTGCTGCACGAGGGGGAGCAAATCACTGCGTCCGCTCCCCACGGCCGGCGGCGCTGTCTCTTCTCGGCACCCAGCACACACCGGCTCCAGGCTCCGATCAGCTGGCGGCGTCGTGACGCACGAGCTGCGAATGCACGGCCCGGGGCCAATCACCGCCCACTGCTGGGCAACGTGGCCCCGCCCACCCGGGGGCCGACGGGGCCTCGCCCTGGTCCCGCCTCTCCGGGCGCCCTGGCTCTGATTGGCAAGGAGGCCACCCTTTTGCCGGGCGGAATTGCACGAAGCCACGCCCACCCACTGAGGAGCCGGCCAATAGACGGACAGGTGTGGCCCAGCCCTCCGCGTCAGCGACCCGCTTAGAAAAGCGCTACGTCAAACGAGAGTCCTAAAGAGCAGGCGAAAGCCACGGCGTCTGCGTTTGCAATGCATGCTGGTCCGTGTAGTTCTCAGCCTGACACCGTCGTTCCCAGAACCCAGCGCGCTCTGTGAGTTGGCATTTTTAAACTGAGCTCGGAATCCAGCCCGGGGAAGTCCTTAAAGGGCGACAGCCCCTCCTTGTTGGAGTCGTGAGTGCTTCTTTTAGACATTCCCCAAACTGACTCGCCGGCCTCTGCGGGACGCTATAGCTCTTTAAGGAAAGGTGGAGCGGACCAAGGAGCAGGAGTGGGCAGAGCGTCAGCCCCCAGGGCAGCAGAGACTGCCGTTGGAGAGCTCTCCAGGGTTTTTGGAGGAGGGAGGGTGCTCGCCTCGCCCAGCCCACTCCTCCTGGGGGCTCTTCCTAACCACAGGAGGCTTTTTTTCTTGGATGTCTCTTCCCAGTCCCAGAAGAGCCCCCAGAGCCTCCCAAGAGGTAGCTTTCTAACAAAAGATTCATAGCACAGTCCTCACCTTAGGGTAGAGGGAGGGCTTCTGGTCAGAAATTAGGGGATGGGCCATGCCAAAGTGCAAAGGGTCAGCAATCGCATCCTCTGATTAACCCCCATTCAGTCCCGCCCTCCAAAGCTCTTCACTGACTCAGGCCTACTTAGGGAAGAGATTCGAAGGTGGAGACCAATGAGCAGGCTGCTCCTTCCCCAGGGGCCAATCAGAGTCTAGATGAGCGGGGGATGGGCAAAAAGTGAAATGAACCCAGTGACTTGGCAAAAGCTGCTGGTCGGCGTTTTTAAAGGGGCAAGCCGGAGACCTGCCCTACCTTATCAATCCCCGCAAGTCCCCCAAAGAGGAACATGTGGACTGAAATCCATGCCTTTTCCTTCAGCTCCAAATAGGGGCTGAGGGTAACTAAGCAGGAATGATGAGGCTGGAGGGTGAGATCCTTCCTTCTGTTAAATACGCACTCCATCAGGTAATTGATAAGGTTCACTTGGAGCTCCAAAATTCTGAGCCTGCGTTCAGGACATTGCGCCTTTAAGGAAACTTCCTGCCTTGCGCCCCAGTAACAGCTGATTGTTGGAAAGTGTGACCTCTGGGGACGAATCAGCTGTTACCACATCCTCCTCCTTGCTTACCCTCCTCCATCCCCTTATCCACTCCCATGGGTGGTGAAGGAAAGAACGTGGGGGATGTGATTGTATGATCTTTCTTTTCCCCCATCACTCCAAGACTGTCTCCCCCAACCCCAACCCCGCTCTGCTCCTTAGTTCTTCAGAGGCTCTGGGCTTGGAAAGAGAGGTATTTCCTGTTAGCACAGTAAATTCAGACTCTGTGGTCTAGACCCTCCCTGGTCTAGGGGAAGGCCAGTACTGGGGAGGTCCAGAATGGTGGCTGGCGCTGGGGAGGGTACAGTGAACCCGAGGACCAAGCCTGGGGAGGAGGAATGGCTATGGGAAGCAAACTTGGGGTTCAGAACGCTGCTTCTCAGGCCAGCCGCCCCCTACTTCCTACTCAAGTTGCCCTATTCCTCCATGGACAGGTGTCTGCTGATGGGATCCTCCTGCTTTTGCCCATTTACTCCACCTCCTTATTTATTTATTTTTTTTCTGTTTTTGAGACAGAGTCTCGCTCTGTTGCCCAGGCTGGAGTGCAGTGGCGCGATCTCGGCTCACTGCAACCTCCACCTCCCGGGTTCAAGCGATTCTCCTCCTTCAGCCTCCTGAGTAGCTGGGATTACAGGCGTGCGCTACCACTCCCAGCTAATTTTTGTATTTTTAGTAGAGATGGTGTTTTGCCATGTGGGCCAGGCTGGTCTCGAACTCCTCACCTCAGGTGATCCACCCGCCTCGGTCTCCCAAAGTGCTAGGATTATAGGCGTGTGAGCCACCGCGCCCGGCCGCATTCACTCCACTTCTAACTGTTCTCAGCTGCCACCTGGTCCCTGGGCCGCTCCATTTTTGGCTTTTGGCGGTGCCCTGCCCACATGGCCACCCCCCATAGCAAGGGTCCTAATTGCTCAAGGACTGCAGGTGGGACACGTTGGCCCCAGAAGCCAGCGTCTTTGGCTGGGAAGTGCTGGGAAGACCCAGGTAAATATTTTGCCTCGATCCTGAGTTGGGAGTCAGGGTCACTCCAGGACAAGCTTAGTGTGAAGTCCTAGGACTGACTTGGCAAGGCGTGGAGAAATTGAGCAGGGCCCTGGCCAAGCATGGAAGGAAGTGAAGCCTCACCAGTGGCCCCTATTCTCCATTATCCTGAGCATAGAAATCCCATCCCTTTCCCACTCACGGCCCTTGGGGTGACCCTTTTCCATTTTGTTCTGAACACTGACCCCACCCCCTAGGTCAAAAGCACAGGCTTCAAGTCCAGGGTTTCGCCACCTCAGCACCCACTGGCATTTTAAGTAGAATAATTTCTTGTGGGAGGGCTACCGGGTGCACAATAGGACATCCACGTGGTCCCTGGCCTCTGTCCTAGATGTCAGTGGCAACACCCACCCACCCCCAGCTCCCAGTTTTGACAACCAAAAGTATCTCCAGACGTTACCAAATGTCTCCTAGGGGCCAAAATCTCCTCCAACTGAGAACTACTGTGTTAGGCACACTTAGATTCAAATTCCAGCTCTTACTAGCTGTGAACTTGTTACCGATAATTTCCCCTCATCTACAACATACGGTGAATAAGGAATTCAAGCCTTGTTGTAGGGATTTCAACATTTAAAAATATTTTAAAAGTTAAAAATGTGCCCGGGCGCGGTGGCTCATGCCTGTAATCCCAGCACTTTGGGAGGCTGAGGCAGGCGGATCACGAGGTCAGGAGATGGAGAACATCCTGGCTAACACTGTGAAACCCCGTCTCTAATAAACATACAAACAATTAGCCGGGCGTGGTGGCGGGCGCCTGTAGTGCCCAGCTACTTGGGAGGCTGAGGCAGGAGAGTGGCGTGAACCCAGGAGGCGGAGCTTTGCAGTGAGCCAAGATTGGGCCACTGCACTCCAGCCTGGGTGACAGAGCAAGACTCCGTCTCAAAAAAACAAAACAAAAAAAAAAATTAAAAATGTGGCCAGGCACAGTGGCTCATACCTGTAATCCCAGCACTTTGGGAGGCCGAAGCAGGTGGATCACTTTGAGCCCAGGAGTTCAAGACCAGCCTGGGCAACGTGGCAAGACCCTCTTTAAAAAAAAAAAAAATTAAAAAATGGCCTGGCGAGGTGGCTCACACCTGTAATTGTAGCACTTTGGGAGGCTGAGGCAGGCAGATTGCTTGAGCTCAGGAGTTCGAGACCAGCCTGGGCAACATGATGAAACTCTAGCTCTACCCAAAATACAAAACATTAGCCAGGTGTGGTGGTATCTGTGGTCCCAGCTACTCAGGAGGCCGAGGCAGAGGTTGCAGTGAGCCAAGATGGCGCCACTGCACTCCAGCCTAGGTGACAGAATGTGACTCCATCTCAGAAAAAAACGAAAAACAAATTTAATTAGAAAACACCTAGCATAGATTTAATTAGAAAACACCTAGCGTAGATTTAATTAGAAAACACCTAGCGTAGATTTAATTAGAAAACACCTAGCATAGTACCTGCCACACTGGTCCGCAGCTGGTGCACTACTTTTCTCCCTGCCGGATTAGCAAGAGCTGACCCCGCTCAACATGGGCTGACTGGTGGGGCAGCTGCAGCCTCTGTCCCTGACTATCCAAGACATGACCTCCCGGAAACCCAATACTGAGGCTGGCCAAGGGGAGCGGCTAATTTGGTCTGAGATTCCCCAGAGCCCAAAGGTGCTTGCATTGGGATTCAGGGAACACGCTTACTGGGGGCAGTGAGAGGGAAATTCCGGAAGAGAGCTGTTACAGACGTTGCTTCTCAAGACATAGCCTGAAGGTTGCTGCATCAGAATTACCTCGCGTACTTGTTAAACATTTAGATAGCTGTATCTCACTCCAGACTCCTGAATTAGAATTATGCCCTAAAGGGCCGGGCATGGTGGCTCACGCCTGTAATTCCAGCACTTTGGGAGGCGGAGGCGGGCGGATCATCTGAGGTCAGGAATTTGAGACCAGCCTGGCCAACATGGTGAAACCCCATCTCTACTAAAAATACAAAAGTTAGCCAGGCGCCTGTAATCCCAGGTACTCGGGAGGCTGAGGCAGGAGAATTGCTTGAACCTGGGCGGTGAAGGTTGCAGTGAGCCGAGATCGTGCCACAGCACTCCAGCCTGGGCGACAGAGTCAGACTCCGTATCAAGAAAAAAAAAAAAAAAGAATTATGCCCTAAAATTTGAAAACTACTGCCCTAGGGCTCAGATTGGGCCAGGGTTTGAGGCCCCAGGAATCCCAGTGCGCCAGTTCCCAATATTGCTAGGACATCTCTATTCTCGGGAGGAAAGGAGAATTTCAAGAGGTAAAATTAGGTACACTCAAGGTCACTGCTGCAGTGTAACCCCAGTACCGCTAGAGGGCAGGGCACACACAGACTTGCAGACAGAAAAAGTAGTACCTGCTCAATCTAGGTAAACTGAGACCAGCGCAAAGAACAGGTGGACCCAGCCAGCTCTATTGGTACTAAGAAGCAAGCACTACCTTCTAACCATCAAAACATATCCTCTGATTTCAGGTATTTATATCAAAGTTGGGGCTGGGCACTGTGGCTCACGACTGTAATCCCAGCTCTACTAAAAATATAAAATTTAGCTAGGCGTGGTAGCAGGCACCTATAATCCCAGCTACTCGGGATGCTGAGGCAGGAGAATCACTTGAACCCGGGAGGCGGAGGTTGTGGTGAGTCAAGATGGTGCCATTGCACTCCAGCCTGGGCAACAAGAGCGAAACTTTGTCTCGAAAAAAAAAAATTAGCTGGGCTTGGTGACGCTGCCTGTAGTCTCAACTACTCGGGAGGCTGAGGTGGGAGGATCACCTGAGCCTGGGGAGGTCGAGGCTGCAGTCAGCTGTGACAAATCACTGCACTGCAGCCTGGGTGACAGAGTGAGACCCTGTGTCAAAAAAAATAAATAAAAAATCACTCGGGCACCATGGCTCACACCTGTAATCCCAGCATTTTGAGAGGCCGAGATGGGCCGATTGCTTGAGCCCAGGAGTTCAAGACCAGCCTGGGAAACATGGCAAAACCTGGTTACTACAAAAATACAAAAAATTAGCTGGATGTGGTGGCACATTCCTGTAGTCCCAGCTACTCAGGAGGCTGAGGTGGGAAGTTCACCTGAGCCTGGAAGGTCGAGGCTGCAGGGAGCCAAGATCACACTACTGCATTCTAGCCTGGGCAACAGAGTGAGACTCTGTCTTAAAAAAAAAAAAAAAAATCAGGCCGGGCACGGTGGCTCACACCTGTAATCCCAGCACTTTGGAAGGCCAAGGCAGGCAGATCACCTGAGGTCGGGAGTTCGAGACCAGCCTGACCAACATGGAGAAACCCTGTCTCTACTAAAATACAAAAATTAGCCGGGCATGGTGGCACATGACTGTAATCCCAGCTACTAGGGAGGCTGAGGCAGGAGAATCGCTTGAACCCGGGAGGCGGAGATTGCGGTGAGCTGAGATCGCGCCATTGCACTCCAGCCTGGGCAACAAGAGCGAAACTCTGTCTTAAAAAAAAAAATCTTCTTAAAAGGGGTGGTGAGGATTACACAAAACAGGGTATGCAAAATGCTTAACAGATGACTAGCTCCTGGTAATGCTCCATACAAGTTTGTTGTAAGTTACTACTGCCCAGGATCATATGACCAAGCACATGAGAGGCTCCAGCTACCCTTCAAGGAAGAGGAGACAGATGAAATCAGATCATGGCTGAGACATTCCTGTTTTCTCTCTCTTTTTTTTTTTTTTTTTGAGATGGAGTCTCACTCTGTTGCCCAGGCTGGAGTGCAGTGGCGCTATCTTGGCTCACTGCAACCTCTGCCTCCTGGGTTCAAGCGATTCTCCTGCCTCAGCCTCCCAAGTAGCTGGAATTAGAGGCGTCCGCCACCACACCTGGCTAATTTTTGTATTTTAGTAGAGATGGGGTTTCTCCATGTTGGTCAGGCTGGTCTTGAACTCCTGACCTCAGGTGATCTGCCCATCTCAGCCTCCCAAAGTGCTGGGTTACAGGCATGAGCCACCGCACCCGGCCCTCCTATTTTCTCTCCTATCAGGCCTAGTTTTCTTTTCTTTTCTTTCTTTCTTTTTTTTTTTTTTGAGACGGAGTCTCGCTCTGCCACCCAGGCTGGAGTGCAGTGGTGTGATCTCAGCTCACTGCAACCTCCGCCTCCCAGGTTCAAGCGATTCTCCTGCCTCAGCCTCCTGAGTAGCTGGGATTACAGGCACCCGCTGCCACACCCGGCTAATTTTTTTGTGTTTTTAGTAGAGATGGAGTTTCCCCAAGTTGGCCGGGCTGGTCTTGAACTCCTGACCTCATGATCCGCCCACCTTGGCCTCCCAAAGTGCTGGGATTACAGGTGTGAACCACCGTGACCGGCCAAGGCCTAGTTTTCCTAAGTGTCTTTATGGGACCCTCACACCTGTACACCAAACTCCTTCAAGAGGCAAACTCTCTCCTAAGAGGGAGACAAAAGAAACAGGGCCAGTGGTTTCACTGTAGACAATGGTCTATCTGTCCTGCAGATGAGTCAGAACTAAGACCCCTTGAGGAATCATGTTGCTTTGGTGCCGGCTGTCTGGTTTCTATTCCATATCCTGTGCCGCACCCTTCCCCCAGCCACAGTGACATCTGGAGGCTCTGACCACAGCTGGCAGGCTCTGTGGTACCGCAGAGGCCAATCTTCAACAGGAAGTCTTGGGGGAACATTTCTTCCCCCAAAACACCAGGCCTCTGGGCCTGGGCCACTTCTCTCCCTCAGACAGCCCAGGGTTTCGTTTTATTTTTATTTTATTTTATTTATTTATTTTTATTTATTTATTTGGTTTTATTTTTATTTATTTATTTATTTTTATTTATTTATTTATTTATTTATTTATTTATTTATTTATTTATTCTTTTTGACGGAGTCTCGCTCTGTTGCCCAGGTTGGAGTACAGTGGCGCCATCTCGGCTCACTGCAAGCTCTGCCTCCTGGGTTCATGCCATTCTCCTGCCTCAGCTTCCCAAGTAGCTGGGACTACAGGCGCCCCCCACCACGGCCAGGTAATTTTTTGTGTTTTTAGTAGAGACGGGGTTTCACCGTGTTAGCCAGGATGGTCTCGATCTCCTGACCTCGTGATCCAGCTGCCTCAGCCTCCCAAAGTGCTGGGATTACAGGCGTGAGCCACTGCACCCGGCCAGTTTTGTTTTTTAAAAAGCCGTGAGAGGGCTGTCAGGAGGCAGTGCTCCTGGGCAGAAAGAAGGCTGGCACCAGTTTCTAAGTCTCCATTCCGCCAGGCGGACAAGCCTCTCTGGCGGTTGTTGGTTATCACTTGTAAAATATAAACAGTAATAACTGTCCTCCCTACCTCACAGAGTGTGTTGCGAGGGCCAAATGGAATGTGACTGTTGAAGTACTTAGGAAAGTTAAAAAGCTCCTTCCTATGGAAGGTGGCATGGAGGCGCCGGGGGGATTCCATGTCAAAAGTCCCAGTTCTGGCCGGGCGCGGTGGCTCACGCCTGTCATCCCAGCACCTTGGGAGGCCGAGACGGGTGGATCACGAGGCCAGGAGTTCGAGATCAGCCTGGCCAACAAGGCGAAACCCCATCTCTACTAAAAAATACAAAAATTAGCCGGGCGTGGTGGCGCGCTCCTGACGTCCCAGCTACTCGGGAGGCCGAGGCAAGAGAATCGCTTGAACCCGGGAGGCAGAGGTTGCGGTGAGCCGAGATCGCGCCACTGCACTCCAGCCTGGGCGACAGAGCAAGACTCCGTCTCAAAAATAGACACAACAGAAGTCCCAGTTCTGCCCCTGGTTGTGCGGTCCGCACTTAACTAAGAGGCTGGCATCTCTGGGAACAGCCTCCGGGACCCGCGCGCTGGTGCGTGCTGGAGGGAGTAGGGAGGGGTGGGGCGGTCGGCATCGCCCTCCGCCGGGCCCGGCTGGAGCTGGCTGGAGACCCTTTCAGCCCCGGGAGGAAGCGGAGCCCAGACCGAGCCAGAGCGGAGCAGCGGGAGGGAGGGCGGGGAGGCCGCCGGGCAGGAAGCGGGGTCCCGCCCGGGCCTCTGGAGCCACGTGCGCTTGTTTCCGTGCTGGGGCGATCACGTGACCCGCGTCAGCTGACCCGTCACGGTGGAGCCCGGTGCTCGCGCCCGGCAGCCTCTGCCCCGCCGCGCCCGGAGCGCAGGACCCGCGGAGGGGTAAGCGCGCCCCCCGTCCGCCTCTTCGCCGCCGCCGGCTTCCTGCGGCCGCCTCCGCCCCAGCCCCTGTCCCGCGCCCATCCCAGCCCCGCCGGCCTGGCACCCCGGAAGCCGTCGCCAGCAGGGCCGTGGCTGGGCTCAGCCCCGCGCTGCCCCCGGGCGGCCTGGAGGAGATGGCCCAGGGCAGCGGGGGGCGGGAAGGCGCTCTCAGAACCCCGGCCGGGGGCTGGCATTCCCCGCCAAGCCCAGACATGCAGGAGCTGCTCCGGAGCGTGGAGAGGGACCTGAGCATCGATCCCAGGCAGCTGGCTCCGGCCCCGGGGGGCACCCACGTGGTGGCCCTAGTGCCTGCGCGCTGGCTGGCCAGCCTCCGCGATCGCCGGCTGCCCCTGGGACCCTGTCCCCGCGCAGAGGGCCTGGGAGAAGCGGAAGTCAGGACTCTCCTGCAGCGCTCTGTGCAAAGGCTGCCTGCCGGCTGGACGCGCGTGGAGGTGCATGGGCTGCGGAAGCGGAGACTGTCCTACCCTCTGGGCGGGGGCCTGCCCTTTGAGGACGGGTCCTGCGGCCCTGAGACCCTCACTCGCTTCATGCAGGAGGTTGCCGCCCAGAATTATCGCAACCTGTGGCGCCATGCATACCACACTTACGGCCAGCCGTACAGTCACAGCCCTGCCCCCTCAGCTGTCCCTGCCTTGGACTCAGTACGGCAGGCTCTGCAGAGGGTCTATGGTTGCTCCTTCCTGCCAGTGGGTGAAACTACCCAATGCCCTTCATATGCCAGAGAAGGCCCCTGCCCCCCTCGGGGCAGCCCTGCTTGCCCTAGTCTTTTACGGGCTGAGGCCTTGCTGGAGTCGCCGGAGATGCTGTATGTGGTACACCCTTACGTACAGTTCTCCCTACATGACGTGGTCACCTTCAGCCCTGCCAAGCTGACCAACAGCCAGGCCAAGGTGCTGTTCATTCTCTTCCGCGTGCTGAGGGCTATGGACGCCTGTCACCGCCAGGGGCTGGCGTGTGGGGCCCTGTCTTTGTATCACATCGCAGTGGATGAGAAGCTTTGCAGCGAGCTGCGACTGGACCTGAGTGCTTATGAGAGGCCCGAGGAGGACGAGAATGAGGAGGCCCCTGTGGCAAGGGATGAGGCGGGCATTGTGTCTCAAGAGGAGCAGGGAGGGCAACCTGGGCAACCCACTGGCCAGGAGGAACTTCGGAGCCTCGTGCTAGATTGGGTCCACGGCCGCATCAGCAACTTCCACTACCTCATGCAGCTGAATCGGTTGGCAGGTCGGCGGCAGGGGGACCCCAACTACCACCCCGTGCTGCCCTGGGTGGTGGACTTCACTACGCCCCATGGGCGCTTCCGAGACCTGCGCAAGTCCAAGTTCCGCCTCAACAAGGGGGATAAGCAACTGGACTTCACGTATGAGATGACACGGCAGGCATTCGTAGCAGGCGGGGCGGGCGGCGGGGAACCCCCTCATGTTCCCCACCACATCTCAGACGTGCTCTCCGACATCACGTACTATGTGTACAAGGCTCGGCGCACGCCTCGGTCGGTGCTCTGCGGACACGTCCGCGCGCAGTGGGAGCCCCATGAGTATCCGGCCAGCATGGAGCGGATGCAGAACTGGACCCCGGATGAGTGCATTCCGGAGTTCTACACCGATCCCTCTATCTTCCGCTCCATCCACCCCGACATGCCTGACCTGGATGTGCCAGCCTGGTGCAGCTCCAGCCAGGAGTTCGTAGCTGCCCACCGAGCCCTGCTGGAGAGCCGCGAGGTATCCCGGGACCTGCACCATTGGATCGACCTCACGTTTGGCTATAAACTCCAGGGTAAGGAGGCTGTCAAGGAAAAGAATGTGTGTCTGCACCTGGTGGACGCCCACACTCACCTGGCCAGCTACGGGGTGGTGCAGCTCTTCGATCAGCCACACCCCCAGCGCCTGGCTGGGGCTCCTGCCCTTGCCCCCGAGCCTCCCCTCATCCCCAAGCTGTTGGTCCAGACCATCCAGGAGACCACAGGCCGGGAGGACTTCACGGAAAACCCGGGACAGCTTCCAAATGGAGTGGGCCGGCCAGTTTTAGAGGCCACTCCCTGTGAGGCTAGCTGGACCAGAGACAGGCCGGTGGCAGGAGAAGACGACTTGGAACAGGCCACAGAAGCTCTGGATTCCATTTCCCTTGCTGGGAAAGCAGGTGACCAGCTGGGCTCCTCCAGTCAAGCGTCCCCTGGACTTCTCTCTTTCTCAGTGGCCTCAGCCTCCCGTCCAGGCCGCAGGAATAAAGCTGCTGGGGCAGACCCTGGGGAGGGTGAGGAGGGGAGGATTCTTCTTCCCGAGGGCTTCAATCCCATGCAGGCCCTGGAGGAGCTGGAGAAAACGGGCAACTTCTTGGCCAAAGGCCTAGGGGGCCTGTTGGAGGTGCCTGAGCAGCCCCGGGTCCAGCCGGCTGTGCCACTGCAGTGCCTACTCCACAGGGACATGCAGGCGCTGGGTGTCCTATTGGCAGAGATGGTGTTTGCCACCAGGGTGCGGACGCTGCAGCCCGATGCACCTTTGTGGGTACGCTTCCAGGCTGTCCGAGGGCTCTGCACGCGCCACCCCAAGGAGGTCCCTGTGTCTTTGCAGCCCGTGCTGGACACACTCCTGCAGATGAGTGGCCCCGAAGTCCCCATGGGAGCAGAGAGGGGCAAGCTGGACCAACTGTTTGAGTACAGGCCTGTCTCCCAGGGCCTGCCCCCACCCTGCCCAAGCCAGCTTCTCAGCCCCTTCAGCTCCGTGGTTCCCTTCCCACCCTACTTCCCGGCACTGCACAGATTCATCCTCCTGTACCAGGCAAGGCGTGTGGAGGACGAGGCCCAGGGGCGCGAGCTGGTGTTTGCTCTGTGGCAGCAGCTGGGCGCGGTGCTAAAGGACATCACCCCTGAGGGCCTGGAGATCCTGCTGCCCTTCGTGCTCTCACTCATGTCCGAGGAGCACACAGCTGTGTACA
This sequence comes from Homo sapiens, assembly GCF_000001405.40. Classification (NCBI taxonomy): domain Eukaryota; kingdom Metazoa; phylum Chordata; class Mammalia; order Primates; family Hominidae; genus Homo; species Homo sapiens. The sequence goes on from NT_187611.1 coordinate 157,817, forward strand.
CGGCCTGGTATCTGTTTGAGCCTGTTGCCAAGGCACTGGGCCCCAAAAATGCCAATAAGTACCTCCTGAAGCCGCTCATTGGTGCCTACGAGAGCCCCTGCCAGCTACACGGCCGCTTCTACCTGTACACGGACTGCTTTGTGGCCCAGCTGATGGTGCGGCTGGGCCTGCAGGCATTTCTCACTCACCTGCTGCCCCATGTCCTGCAGGTGCTGGCGGGCGCAGAGGCCTCCCAGGAGGAGAGCAAGGACCTGGCAGGGGCTGCTGAGGAGGAGAGCGGGCTGCCCGGGGCCGGGCCTGGCTCCTGTGCTTTTGGGGAGGAGATTCCCATGGATGGGGAGCCTCCTGCCTCCTCGGGCCTGGGGCTCCCAGACTACACGTCTGGCGTCAGCTTCCACGACCAGGCTGACCTCCCTGAGACAGAGGACTTCCAAGCCGGGCTCTATGTGACTGAGTCTCCCCAGCCCCAGGAGGCTGAGGCTGTGAGCCTGGGCCGGCTGAGTGACAAGAGCAGCACCAGCGAGACCTCCCTGGGTGAGGAGCGGGCTCCAGACGAGGGGGGTGCCCCCGTGGACAAGAGCAGCCTTCGATCAGGTGACAGCAGCCAGGACTTGAAGCAAAGCGAGGGCTCCGAGGAGGAAGAGGAGGAGGAGGACAGCTGCGTGGTGCTAGAGGAGGAGGAGGGGGAGCAGGAGGAGGTCACCGGGGCATCTGAGCTCACTCTGTCTGACACGGTGCTGTCCATGGAGACGGTTGTGGCCGGCGGCAGTGGGGGAGATGGAGAAGAAGAGGAGGAGGCACTGCCTGAGCAGTCAGAAGGCAAAGAACAGAAGATCCTCCTTGGTAAGTTCCCAGGTCTGGGAGGTGTTGGTCAAAAACACCTCCTGCTGGCCGAGCACAGTGGTTCACGCCTGTATTCCCAGCACTTTGGGAGGCTGAGGCGGGCGGATCACAAGGTCAGGAGATCGAGACCATCCTAATAACAAGGTGAAACCCCGTCTCTACTAAAAATACAAAAAAATAGCCGGGCGTGGGGGCAGGCACCTGTAGTCCCAGCTACTCGGAAGGCTGAGGCAGGAGAATGGCGTGAACCCGGGAGGCGGAGCTTGCAGTGAGCCGAGATCGCACCACTGCACTCCAGCCTGGGCGACAGAGCGAGACTCCATCTCAAAAAAACAAAACAAAACAAAAAAACAGCTCCTGCTTCTCCCTGCACACTGGCAGAGCACCTACTCTGTGCCAAGCAGTGGATCGAGCCAGGACCACCGGCAACACAAATGTAGGCCTGCCTTCACAGAGCTCACACCCAGCAGACGAGATGCCGCAGTGCAGACAGTCTTAAGCAAGTGTATTATGTTAGTGCGATAAAGAACATGGCTGCATTCCTAGGAGGGAGTGCAACATGGAGCTTTTCGGCCGGGCGCCGTGGCTCACGCCTCTAATCCCAGCACTTTGGGAGGCCGAGGCAGGAGGATCACTTGAGGTTAGGAGTTCGAGACCAGCCTGGCCAACATGGTGAAACCCCATCTCTACTAAAAATACAAAAATTAGCCAGGCGTGGTGGCGGGCACCTGTAATCCCAGCTATTCAGGAGGCTGAGGCAGGAGAATTACTTGAACCCAGGAGGTGGAGGTTGCAGTGAGCTGAGATCACACCACTGCACTGCAGCTTGGGCAACAGAGCGGGACTCCGTCTCAAAAAAGAAAAAAAAAATGGTGCTTTTACATCTAGTTTTCAAGGGTCAGAGCAGGCTTCCTTAAAAGGAGAGACAGTTGAGGTTCAAGGAGGAGTAGGAAGAAGGTAGACAAAAATGGGCAAAAAGAAAGTCTGAAGGCTGAGGGAACAGCATGTGTGAGGCTCTGAGGCTGTCATGTTCCATTAAAGAAGAGAAGCGGGGGACCGGGCGCGGTGCTTCACGCCTGTAATCCCAGCACTTTGGGAGGCTGAGGCGGATGGATCACAAGGTCAGGAGATTGAGACCATCCTGGCCAATATGGTGAAACCCCATCTCTACTAAAAATACAAAAACTTAGCTGGGCATGGTGGAGGGTGCCTGTAATCTCAGCTATTTGGAAGGCTGAGGCAGGAGAATCGCTTGAACCCGGAGGTTCAAGGAGGAGAGTCAGGGCGGTGGAAGGTGGAGGTTGCAATGAACTGAGATTGTGCCATTGCACTCCAGCCTGGGCAACAGTGCGAGACTCTGTCTCAAAAAAAAAAAAAAAGAAGAAGAAGAAGAAGAAGAGAAGCAGGGAAAGGCCGTTATGGCGAGACCGAGGGAGTGGAGGGAAGAGAGGCCAGAGGGAAGGTGGCCAGGGCCGGGCCAGGCCTTGTTAAGGAGTTTCAGAAGACCCACGGGCAGGCTAACTTCCTGCGGGTCGTGCCTGTGGAGAGGAACCTGCGGCAGCCAGAGTCCCACAGGCCAGGGCCTGGGCACCTCTGCCGCTGTTACGTGGAGGGGGTGGTGTGGGACAGCCGGCCCGGGCTGGGCTCTTGGCAGAGCTGCAGCCGCAGGTGGTTGAGTGGGGTGCCGTGGGGTGGGGTGGGAGGGGTGATGAGCCCCTGTTATCTGAGGAGCTCAGGGCCTGCTCCCACCCCGCAGATACAGCCTGCAAGATGGTCCGCTGGCTGTCTGCCAAGCTCGGCCCCACAGTGGCCTCTCGCCACGTGGCCCGGAACCTGCTCCGCCTGCTGACGTCTTGTTATGTTGGTAAGGAGGCCTGCGGTCAGTGCTGGAGATGAGGCTTTCTCCCAGGCCCTCTGCCTAGCTTCAGCGCTCTCCGGCGGGGATCCTTCCCACCCCTCCCTCAAACCACCCCCCGGCCAGGTGCTGGGTCCCAGTCTAAGTGCCAGCCTTGGGTAGGGCCAGGCTGGGCCCCCAGCTAGAGTGAGCTCAAGCGGCCAGCACAGCCCTGCAGGGCCAGGCTACCCCCGGCCCTCCACTGGCGACTCAGGGCTGCTGGCCCTTCCGTGGCAGGACCCACTCGGCAGCAGTTCACAGTGAGCAGTGGCGAGAGCCCACCGCTGAGCGCCGGCAACATCTACCAGAAGAGGCCGGTCCTGGGCGACATCGTGTCAGGGCCTGTGCTCAGCTGCCTCCTCCACATCGCCCGCCTGTATGGGGAGCCTGTCCTCACCTACCAGTACCTGCCCTACATCAGCTACCTGGTCAGTCGCTGGTTTGGCAGGCCCGGGGCTGGGAAGGCTGAGGACCTGAGGGCCGGCCCGGGCTCTCTTGGTGCCAGGGGGTCTGTGGGGCTGCCCGGCCCTCATCTGCTCGGTGGCTCTAGGTGGCCCCAGGGAGTGCCTCAGGCCCCAGCCGACTGAACAGCCGTAAGGAGGCGGGGCTGCTGGCCGCGGTGACGCTGACTCAGAAGATCATCGTGTACCTCTCAGACACCACACTCATGGACATCCTGCCCCGGATCAGCCATGAGGTCCTGCTGCCCGTGCTCAGCTTCCTCACCTCCCTCGTCACGGGGTAGGCCTCTGCCCCAGCTGATGTAGGGGGACCGGCCCAGCGGAGGGGCTGCCCAGGAGGGGGTGGGAAGCTCAGGGGAGAGGACGTAACACTGGACTGGGTGTCAAGAGTCCTGGTTTTGATCCCGGCTGTGTGACCCTGAGCAAACCACACCCTTTTCCTGTGCCTCAGTTTCCTCATCTGGTTTGGACCAGTTGGTCTTGGAGCTCTTTCATTTAAAGCTTTTGATATGTCCGGGCACGGTGGCTCATGCCTGTAATCCCAGCACTTTGAGAGGCTGAGGCGGGAAGATTGCTTGAGCCCAGGAGTTCAAGACCAGCCTGGGCAACAAAATGAGACCCCCTCTCTAAAAATATATATAAAGGCCGAGCGTGGTGTCTCACCCCTGTAATCCCAGCACTTTGGGGGGCCAAGGCGGGTGGATCACGAGGTCAGGAGTTTGAGACCCGCCTGGCCAACATGGTGAAACCCCGTCTCCACTAAAAATACAAAATCTTCGCTGGGCATGGCAGCAGGTGCCTGCAATCCCAGGTTCTCGGGAGGCTGCAATCCCAGGTTCTCAGGAGGCTGAGGCGGGAGAATTGCTTGAACCCAGGAAGCGGAGGTTGCAGTGAGCTGAGATCACGCCATTGTACTGCAGCCTAGGCGACAGAGCAAGACTCTGTCTCAAAAAAAAAAAAAAAAGTATATATATATATGCTGGGTGCTGTGGCTCATGCCTGTAATCCCAGCACTTTGGGAGGCCAAGGTGGGTGGATCGCTTGAGGTCAGGAGTTCGAGACCAGCCTGGCCAATATGGCAAAACCCTGTCTCTACTAAAAATACAAAAAAAATTAGCCGGGTGTGGTGGCTCATGCCTGTAGTCCCAGCTACTCGGGAGACTGAGGCAGGAGAATCGCTTGAACCCGGGAGGCAGAGGTTGCAGTGAGCCGAGATCGCACCACTGCACTCCAGCCTGGATGACAGAGCAAGACTCCATCTCAATAAAAATAAAAATAAATAAAGATTTTGCTAGATTCTGGTCAAGTCCTGCAGAACGGCGGGCTGGAGCTCATGAGCTCTGTTTCCAGGTTCCCAAGTGGGGCCCAGGCTCGGACCATCCTGTGTGTGAAAACCATCAGCCTCATCGCCCTCATCTGCCTGCGCATTGGACAGGAGATGGTCCAGCAGCACCTGAGCGAGCCCGTGGCCACCTTTTTCCAGGTCTTCTCTCAGCTGCATGAGCTTCGGCAACAGGTGGGCAGATCTGCTGGGCCAGGGCGGGCTGGGGCGGGGGCTGTGGACCTGGGTGACCCCCTGGGCATCTTGCTCATAGGATCTGAAGCTGGACTCCGCGGGCCGTGGCGAGGACCAGGGTGGGCCAGGGTGGGAGCTGTGGACCCGGCTGACCCCCTGGGTGTCTTGCTCATAGGATCTGAAGCTGGACCCTGCGGGCCGTGGTGAGGGCCAGCTGCCACAGGTGGTCTTCTCTGATGGGCAGCAGCGGCCCGTGGACCCCGCCCTGCTGGACGAGCTGCAGAAGGTGTTCACCCTGGAGATGGCATACACAATCTACGTGCCCTTCTCCTGCCTGTTGGGTACTGCCCCATCACGTTCCCCATCACAGTCTTCGTGGCTGTCTCCTCCCTTGGGAGGCCCCATTCTCTGCCCTTGCCCCAGAGTCAGCAGTGGGTTCTAAGAGCCAGCAGGATGGGTGAGAGCAAAGGGATTTGGCCTCAGACCCCTACCCCCAAGGTGACACACAAACAAGGACTGAGCAGTAGCCAGCAAGAGAGGCCCAGAAGCTGGCCTGTAGTGTCCCTGGGGAAGGCAGGAGAGTCAGGGAGGTGGACTGGCGGTCCGCAGGAGCTGGCGAGAGGGAAGGAGTGGCCTCCTGTTTACGAAGCTTCCCCTCTGGGCCCTGCACGGTGCTGTGCTGATCGTTTCAGCGTGTCATCTCCCTGGAGAGGACAGACAGCCTTGTGGTTACACCTGTTATCATCCTGCCACTGAAATCTAAGCTTGGGAGGCCAGGGCACCACCTGTCTTGTTCCATATTCTATTCCTAGTGCCCAGCACGGCACGGCACATATAGAAGATGCTCATGTGTACATCACAACGGAATGAATCCACATTTCACTGAGGAGGAAACTGAGGCTCAGAGACAGAGTTACTTGCCCAGAGTTGCAGAGCCAGTTCCTGCCCCATCTTCTGTGGCTCCCGAGTCCTTGGATGGGTGATAGCAGCCGCCTGCCATCTTCCCTGTCTCAGGACCTCTCCCACTCCTATCCAGGTGACATCATCCGGAAAATCATCCCCAACCACGAGCTGGTTGGGGAGCTGGCGGCGCTGTACTTGGAGAGCATCAGCCCCAGCAGTCGCAACCCTGCCAGCGTGGAGCCCACCATGCCCGGCACCGGGCCCGAGTGGGACCCCCATGGTGGGGGCTGCCCTCAGGATGACGGCCACTCAGGGACCTTTGGGAGCGTCCTGGTGGGGAACCGCATTCAGATCCCCAATGACTCTCGGCCTGAGAACCCCGGACCACTGGGCCCCATCTCGGGGGTGGGTGGCGGGGGCCTGGGCAGCGGGAGCGACGACAACGCCCTGAAGCAGGAGCTGCCGCGGAGCGTGCACGGGCTGAGCGGAAACTGGCTGGCGTACTGGCAGTACGAGATCGGCGTGAGCCAGCAGGATGCCCACTTTCACTTCCACCAGATCCGCCTGCAGAGCTTCCCGGGCCACTCGGGGGCCGTCAAGTGCGTGGCACCCCTGAGCAGCGAGGACTTCTTCCTGAGCGGCAGCAAGGATCGTACCGTGCGCCTCTGGCCGCTGTACAACTACGGCGACGGGACCAGCGAGACGGCCCCACGCCTCGTCTACACCCAGCACCGCAAGAGCGTCTTCTTCGTGGGCCAGCTTGAGGCCCCACAGCACGTGGTGAGCTGTGACGGGGCTGTGCACGTCTGGGACCCCTTCACAGGTGAGCGGGCCCAGGTGAGGCCTGTTCTCTTCCTGCTCCTGCGCCCCACCAGGCCTCCAGGAAGGGGGCCCGAGGGTGGGGCTGTAATGCTGCGGAGTTTGGGGAGACCCAGCGAGGCCGCCTAGGAGAACAGTTAGGGCTTCGAATCTGTTAGACTTGAGTCTGAATTGGCTCCACCGGCTTACTTGCTGAGTGACCTTGAGCAAGTTCCTGCTGCTGGAAGCGTCTCCTTTCCCATCTATAAACTGAGAATCAGAAAAACTGGCGTAGAAGATAACACACAGCCGGGCGCAGTGGCTCACGCCTGTAATCCCAGCACTTTGGGAGGCTGAGGCGGGTGGATCACGAGGTCAGGAGATCGAGATCATCCTGGCTAACATGGTGAAACCCCGTCTCTACTAAAAATACAAAAATTAGCCGGGCGTGGTGGCGGGTGCCTGTACTCCCAACTACACAGGAGGCTGAGGCAGGAGAATCTCTCAAACTCAGGTGGCAGAGGTTGCCGTGAGCCGAGATCGCACCACTGCACTCCAGCCCGGGCAACAGAGCGAGACTCTGTCTCAAAAAAAAAAAAAGAAGAAGATAACACATGTAGGGTTTTGGCTTCATGTGTAGCAGATATTTGGTCAATGGTTGCTTATTTTTTGGCGTCACCATAGGGAGAAATATGGTTAAAAGGGGGAAAGGGATGGTGTCGGGGAAGACAGAGGGAGGTGGCATTGGGTCAGCAGCACTGTGCAGAGAGAGGAGGTTGCTTTGGGGATGGGAGCCTGGCCGGGCCATGGAAGCAGGAAGGTGGGAGAGTCAAGAAACATCTTTAGGCCGATGCAGTGGCTCACGCCTGTAATCTCAGCACTCTGGGAGGCCAGGAGTTGGAGACCAGACTGGCTGACATGGTGAAACCCCATCTCTACTAAGAATACAAAAAAAGGCCGGACGCGGTGGCTCACGCCTGTAATCCCAGCACTTTGGGAGGCCAAAGTGGGTGGATCATGAGGTCAGGAGATCGAGACCATCCAGGCTAACATGGTAAAACCCCGTCTCTACCAAAAATACAAAAAATTAGCCAGGCGTGGTGGCGGACGCCTGTAGTCCCAGCTATTCGGGAGGCTGAGGCAAGAGAATTGCTTGAACCTGGGAGGTGGAGGTTGCAGTGAGCCGAGATTGCACCACTGCACTCCAGCCTGGGCGACAAAGCGAGACTCCGTCTCAAAAAAAGAGAAACATCTTTAGCATTTTCTAAGGATCCCTGGGGGACGGGAGGCAGGTGTGCGGTGAGTTGGGGGATTAGAAGCTCCCAGGGCTCTTCCGTCAGCTGCTGGGACCCCAGATCCACTGTGACTTTCCTTCCCAGGGAAGACCCTTCGCACAGTGGAGCCGCTGGACAGCCGGGTGCCCCTGACTGCGGTGGCTGTCATGCCCGCCCCCCACACCAGCATCACCATGGCCAGCTCTGACTCTACCCTGCGCTTTGTGGACTGCAGGAAGCCTGGTCTGCAGGTCAGGGGGGTCCAGTTCCCTGAGCACTCGCCTGGTTCTCTGGGGACCTGGCAAGGAGGAGAGACTCCCCAAAAACAGAAAGCCAGGATGTTGTTCTGGGGCCCTAGTTAGTTTCTCTTTGGTGCTAGATCACCCACAGCCACACATCCTGCGGGGCAGGACTCTGGCCTGTGATGGGGGTGGGGTTCTGGGCTTTTCATGCCCCCTGATGAGGGTCAGAGGCTCAGGCCTTCCTGCTGTGTGGGCTTGGGTGGTGGGCAGGGCCTTGGGGAGTGTGAGATGGGAAGGTGGTGCCTCAGCTCAGCCGCCCTCTCCCTGCAGCACGAGTTCCGACTGGGCGGTGGGCTGAACCCTGGGCTTGTCCGTGCCCTGGCCATCAGCCCCAGTGGCCGTAGTGTCGTGGCCGGCTTCTCCTCAGGCTTCATGGTGCTCCTGGACACCCGCACGGGCCTGGTTCTGCGAGGCTGGCCAGCCCACGAGGGGGACATTCTGCAGATCAAGGTGACGGGCCGGGTCTCCCTCCCCTTGCTGCCCAACCCCCGCCCCTGTCCAGCCATCACCCCTGCTTAGGGTCTGCCTGCCCGGGTTCAGGCTCGAACTGGTCTGTCTTATATACCTGGTCCAGGACTAACTGGGCAGGGAGGGTAGCCCTCTCGGTCCACCTTGGGAGCCAGTTGCACTGCAGGGGTCTCAGCAGGAGGCAGGCCGTGGGGGCGGGAGCCACGGGGCAGTGGGGCGGGAGCTATGGGGCAGGGCTGACCCTGTTGCTCATGGCGATGTTCTAATGAGTAACCCTTGTCCATATTTGTCTTGCTTGGAGGATCAGGGGTCAGGCCCTGTCCGTGACCTAGTTCAGGTTAAATAAAGCTGAGCTGGGAGGCTGTTTACTGCCTGTAGACCGCTGAGCAGAGTCCATGGCCCTGCCGGGCTGCCCTGGCTGGGGGCAGGAGCACACCTGGGCATGGGGATCCTGCCCCCGTCTCCTTCCCCTCCCCCTCCCTCCATTCTCAGTCACAGGCCTCAGGGAGCTGCTCAGGGAGGCCCAGGAGGGGAGGAACAGGGCTTCGTGTGGGAGGATTTCTGCAGGCAGCTGGGACTTTCCTCCCCAGCTTGGCTGGAGGCCAGGAGTCTTGCATTGCCCTGCTGACAGCAGGCTGTCGCTGGCTCCCTCCAGAGCCCCAGGGAACCCTCAGCTCAAGGTGCCCCCAAATTCTAACTTTCCAAGAAAGTGTCAGGAGGGCTCTGGGGTCAGCCTGGGTGTTAATCCCAGCTCTGCTGCTTGCTGGCCCCATGACCTTGGTATGGTTACTTCACTTCTCTGAGCCTCGCTTTTCCTGTTTGTGAAATGGGGACAATGGCAGCATCCACCGCATAGGGTTGTTACGAAGGTCAAGGTCGTCACGTGCACGCCTGGCACCATGCCTGTGCGTAGTTCTCAAGTTAGAGTGACGACTGGGTTACGGATGCTGAGCGTATTAAAATGAACCAACGTGAATATGGTGTGTGTGGGAGGGTGGTGGCTTGTCACCCACCCAGGACGGCCTGTCTCCCTGGAGAGAAACTGCGGAGGGAACTGGGAAGGCCTTGGGGCCCAAGGGTATGCAGAAGGACCCAGGCTCCTGCTGAGGGTCTCCTCTCCCGGGACAGGCGGTGGAGGGCAGCGTCCTGGTCAGCTCCTCCTCTGACCATTCCTTGACCGTCTGGAAGGAGCTGGAGCAGAAGCCCACCCATCACTACAAGTCAGCATCCGACCCCATCCACACCTTTGACCTGTACGGCAGTGAGGTGGTCACTGGCACCGTGTCCAACAAGATTGGCGTCTGCTCCCTGCTTGAGCCACCCTCGCAGGCCACCACGAAGCTCAGCTCTGAGAACTTCCGCGGCACGCTCACCAGCCTGGCCTTGCTGCCCACTAAACGCCACCTCCTGCTGGGCTCAGACAACGGGGTTATCCGCCTCCTGGCATAGACTGAGGCAGGAGCTGGCCGGGCAAGGGTGGGAAGACATCTGCGGGCGCGTGTCCGCTCACCCTGTTCCCTGAGCAGCAGCTCCCTCCAGGGAGGCCCTGGGTCCCACGCCCTGGGTGCCCACATGGCCTGCCAACTAGGGCCTGCAAATGGAGTGGGGGAGTCCTGGCCCCTGAATCACCAGAGCCACCAAGCCTGCCAGAGGGGTCTCATTCATGGCTTGGGGACACAGGGCTCCTAGCAAGCAGGAAGTTAAGAGCAGGAGGAAGCGTTGCTACCTTCACTTCTCCCCAGCTCTGCCCTCTGGGTCCACATGAGGACAGGGAAGCTCGGGAAGGGGAAGGGAGACTGGCCCTGCCCAGCCGGTCTCTAGCCCCTCAGCCCCCGCTGGGCACTCTCTGTCCCATCCCTCTAGGACAGGGAAGCTGGCCTGGTCCAGGGCACTGATGGTGCTTGGATTCCAGCCTAAGGAAGGCTGGCCGTGGTCCAGGAGTTAAGGGCTTGGGTCTGGGGTTTAAGTGGCCACCCATCCAGGCCCTGGCCAGTGTGGGACCGGGACGGGAAGGAAGAAGGAGGCTAGGAGCAGGGGGAAAAGGTGCACTTGGCCAGTGGCGCCTGCCAGGAGTGAGTCCATGCGTTGTCTGCCCACCCCTACCACAGTGTTTGTGCCTTCAGCTGAGGGGGCAGCCTCTGGGCCCTGAACCCCTGCTGGGGCTCCACGACCCTGAGAGAAGGGTTGAGAAGAATCATCTCTGCACCTCGGGTCTCTGCCAGAGGAAGACTTAAGCATCCCTGCGACCTCACATTCTAGACAGAGATGAGGTCCAAGGGTTGGCCCCTGCTGCCTTCTCACAATTTGCAATAGATGTAAATAGGACCAATAAATCCTTTGGAAGAGCCATGGGGTGAACTGAGGCTTGTCTTTTTTTTTTTTTTTCAATAGAGATGGAGTCTGACTATGTTGCCCAAGCTGGTCTCCAACTCCTGGGCTCAAGCGATCCTCCTGCCTCGGCCTCCCAAAGTGTTGGGATTACAGGCATGAGCCACCACGCCCAGCCTGAGGCTTATCTTGCTGGTGGTGTCAGGGTGGGGAAAGTCGAGACCCAGCAGTTTCCAGGACAGTGAGGGTGGGAAGGGGCCTGATGGAGGGAGTGAGGAGCAGGACAGTGAGGGTAGGAGGCGGCCTGATGCAGGGAGTGAGGCACAGGACAGTGAGGGTGGGAAGGAGCCTGATGCAGGGAGTGAGGCGCAGGACAGTGAGGGTGGGAAGGAGCCTGATGCAGGGAGTGAGGCGCAGGACAGTGAGGGTGGGAAGGAGCCTGATGCAGGGAGTGAGGCGCAGGACAGTGAGGGTGGGAAGGAGCCTGATGCAGGGAGTGAGGCGCAGGACAGTGAGGGTGGGAAGGAGCCTGATGCAGGGAGTGAGGCGCAGGACAGTGAGGGTGGGAAGGAGCCTGATGCAGGGAGTGAGGCGCAGGACAGTGAGGGTGGGAAGGAGCCTGATGCAGGGAGTGAGGCGCAGGACAGTGAGGGTGGGAAGGAGCCTGATGCAGGGAGTGAGGAACAGGACAGTGAGGGTGGGAAGGAGCCTGATGCAGGGAGTGAGGAGCAGGACAGTGAGGGTGGGAAGTGGCCTGATGCAGGGAGTGAGGAGCAGGTGTGAGGGCGGGAAGCGGCCTGATGCAGGGAGTGAGGCGCAGGACAGTGAGGGTGGGAAGGAGCCTGATTCAGGGAGTGAGGCGCAGGACAGTGAGGGTGGGAAGGAGCCTGATGCAGGGAGTGAGGAGCCGGACAGTGAGGGTGGGAAGGAGCCTGATGCAGGGAGTGAGGAGCAGGACAGTGAGGGTGGGAAGGAGCCTGATGCAGGGAGTGAGGCGCAGGACAGTGAGGGTGGGAAGGAGCCTGATGCAGGGAGTGAGGCGCAGGACAGTGAGGGTGGGAAGGAGCCTGATGCAGGGAGTGAGGAGCCGGACAGTGAGGGTGGGAAGGAGCCTGATGCAGGGAGTGAGGAGCAGGACAGTGAGGGTGGGAGGCGGCCTGATGCGGGGAGTGAGGAGCCGGACAGTGAGGGTGGGAAGGAGCCTGATTCAGGGAGTGAGGCGCAGGACAGTGAGGGTGGGAAGGAGCCTGATGCAGGGAGTGAGGCGCAGGACAGTGAGGGTGGGAAGGAGCCTGATGCAGGGAGTGAGGAGCCGGACAGTGAGGGTGGGAAGGAGCCTGATGCAGGGAGTGAGGAGCAGGACAGTGAGGGTGGGAAGTGGCCTGATGCAGGGAGTGAGGAGCAGGTGTGAGGGCGGGAAGCGGCCTGATGCAGGGAGTGAGGCGCAGGACAGTGAGGGTGGGAAGGAGCCTGATTCAGGGAGTGAGGCGCAGGACAGTGAGGGTGGGAAGGAGCCTGATGCAGGGAGTGAGGAGCAGGACAGTGAGGGTGGGAAGGAGCCTGATGCAGGGAGTGAGGAGCCGGACAGTGAGGGTGGGAAGGAGCCTGATGCAGGGAGTGAGGAGCTGGACAGTGAGGATGGGAAGGAGCCTGATGCAGGGAGTGAGGAGCAGGACAGTGAGGGTGGGAAGTGGCCCGATGCAGGGAGTGAGGCGCAGGACAGTGAGGGTGGGAAGGAGCCTGATGCAGGGAGTGAGGAGCAGGACAGTGAGGGTGGGAGGGGGCCTGATGCAGGGAGTGAGGAGCCGGACAGTGAGGGTGGGAGGCGGCCTGATGCAGGGAGTGAGGAGCAGGACAGTGAGGGTGGGAAGTGGCCCGATGCAGGGAGTGAGGCGCAGGACAGTGAGGGTGGGAAGGAGCCTGATGCAGGGAGTGAGGAGCAGGACAGTGAGGGTGGGAAGGAGCCTGATGCAGGGAGTGAGGAGCCGGACAGTGAGGGTGGGAAGGAGCCTGATGCAGGGAGTGAGGAGCAGGTGTGAGGGCGGGAAGCGGCCTGATGCAGGGAGTGAGGAGCAGGACAGTGAGGGTGGGAAGGAGCCTGATGCAGGGAGTGAGGAGCCGGACAGTGAGGGTGGGAAGGAGCCTGATGCAGGGAGTGAGGAGCAGGTGTGAGGGTGGGAAGGAGCCTGATGCGGGGAGTGAGGAGCAGGATAGTGAGGGTGGGAGGCGGCCTGATGCAGGGAGTGAGGAGCAGGTGTGAGGGTGGGAAGCGGCCTGATGCAGGGAGTGAGGAGCCGGACAGTGAGGGTGGGAAGGAGCCCGATGTAGGGAGTGAGGAGCAGGTGTGAGGGCGGGAAGCGGCCTGATGCAGGGAGTGAGGAGCAGGACAGTGAGGGTGGGAAGGAGCCTGATGCAGGGAGTGAGGTGTCGGACAGTGAGGGTGGGAAGCAGCCTGATCTTTGCATGGGCTGCCAGGCTTCTGGTTCATACAGCCCCAGGTCAGTTTCCAGAACCCTCGCTCTTGGGTAGGGGAAAGAGACATTGCTCTGGAGTGGCAGGACGGTGGGAGAAGTTGAGTCCTTCTCATTTCTCCTCCCTCACCCCCTGCCTTCCATCCCAGTCTGAAGGCAGCCAACCTGATCCTGGGCTTGGAAGGTTGGGGGTGGGCTTCCTATCCTCGGCTCTCTGCATAGGCTCTTGTGGCTTCCCCTTTCCTCCCCTCAGGAGCGGGAGGCAGCTCTCTGGGAGAAGAAAGGACATTGGGAGTGAGAATCTGGATGTGCCTCAGCCCAGCTCTGTGTACTTGGGCAGGTCACATGGCCTCTCTGAGCCTGGCTGAACCAGGGATAATCCACACCTCGTGGGGTCTCTGGAAGGCTTAACACAGTGCTAGGTTCCTGTGCTTTCTGGATCCGCCCTCTTGGCTAGCCAGATCCAGTCTCTTCAACTCTCTCCTCCTGAACTTTCTCTTTCCAGGCTCGGGGGGGGGGACCCAAATATAGGGGGTTCTGCGTGGCTGCCTCAGGGTTAGATGCCCTGGTGGGAAAGGGGCTTCTGGCTTCAAGATCAATGTTTAACTGGATGTGCAAGTCAATATTTACCAGAAGAGAAAGCAATCTGAACAGGGGTTGGCTGAGAGTAAAGGTCCTGGTGGGAGGGGAGGGGTGGGCTGGGCCAGCTGGAGCCTGGGCAGAGAGTGAGGAGCACCCAAGTGGGGCCAGAGGAACGTTGTGTGTGGCAGCAAGGAGCCCGCAGAGGTATGAGGGGAGGGGCTGCTCGGCCTGCTCCTTGGGTAGGAGAGGAGGAGGGAGCTGCCTCCCTGGCTGAGGGGTCTGGGATTTATTCAGGAGGCCTGTCACTCCCCAGCCTCTCCTGGGACTTGAAAAACTGGAGCCTGTTCTTGGCAAGAAGATTCTAATGCCCAGGTCGGAGTCGGGGCCCTGGCCAAGGGCTCTTGTGTGGGATGGGGGTGGGGCCGGGGGGACCAAAGGATCCTCCAGAAGGGTTGGCCCCAAGATGGGGGTGGGCTGGAGGTAGCTGAGACCTGCTCTGACTTATCCTCCTGAGACCAACACCTGCCCTTCCCAGAGCCAGCCTGGAGCAGAGGCCTGTGATGCTCCTAAGTGCAGAGGTGGCTCTGGCCAGAGTCATTCACTGGGCTCTGCTGCTGGGTCAAAAGGCAGCTCTCTGGCTGCCTTGCCACCCCTGGTGAGACCTCAGGGCCTCACAGGTATGTCCAGCCTTGTGGGCAAGACCTGACCAGCCTGAGAAAGACGGGTTGGGGCCAGGCGTGGTGGCTCATGCCTGTCATCCCAGCACTTTGGGAGGCTGAGGCAGGTGGATCACCTGAGGTCAGGAGTTCGAGACCAGCCTGACCAACATGGAGAAACCCTGTCTCTACTAAAAATACAAAATTAGCCAGGCATGGTGGCACATGCCTGTAATCCCAGCTACTCGGGAGGCTGAGGCAGGAGAATCGCTTTAACCCAGGAGGTGGAGGTTGCAGTGAGCCGAGATCGTGCCATTGCACTCCAGCCTACATGATAAGAATGAAACTCCATCTCAAAAAAAAAAAAAAAAAAAAAAAAGACAGGCTAAATGGATGCAGCAGGCTGGGTAGGAGCTCTGTGTTGGAGCTCTGCGGTGGAGGCTTCAGGGCAGGCTTCCCAGAAGAGGTGGCCTTGAGCCAAGCTGACCCCAGCCATCGGGGGAGTGCCAAGCATTGTACTCAGGGTTTACAAAGATGGTCTTATTTATTTTTTTGAGACAGAGTCTTGCTCTGTCGCCCAGGCTGGAGTGCAGTGGCGTGATCTCGGCTCACTGCAACCTCCGCCTCCCGGGTTCAAGCAGTTCTCTGCCTCAGCCTCCCGAGTAGCTGGGATTACAGGGGCCCACCACCACGCCTGGCTAATTTTGTATTTTCAGTAGAGATGGGGTTTTACCATGTTGGCCAGGCTGGTCTTGAACTCCCGACCTCAGGTGATCCACCTGCCCCTGGCCTCCCAAAGTGCTGGGATTACAGGCTTGAGCCACCGTGCCTGGCCACAAAGATGGTCTTTTGCCGGGTGCAGTGGCTCATGCCTGTAATCCCAGTACTTTGGGAGGCCGAGGCAGGAGGATCACCTGAGGTCGGGAGTTTAAGACCAGCCTGACTAACACAGAGAAACCCCGTTTCTACTAAGAAATACAGAATTAGCCAGGCGTGGTGGTGCATGCCTGTAATCCCAGCTATTCGGGAGGCTGAAGCAGGAGAATCGCTTGAACCTGGGAGGTGGAGGTTGCGGTGAGCCGAGATCCTGCCACTGCACTCCAGCCTGGTCAACGAGAGCGAAACTCCGTCTCAAAAAATAAACAACAAAAAATCCCAAAAAGACGGTCTTATTTTGGTCCTCACCATGCATGTGAGAAGAGTGAGGGACTTGTGCCACCGTTTTACAAGGTAAGGCCAAGCCTGGTGGAGTTACGGGAAATGCCGAGGTCCTTTGGCAAGAGGTAGCCTGGATTCAGACACAGATCTGATTCACAGCGCAGGGCCTTGTAGAATGAGAACGTTTTTGATTTGGTATCTCCCTCCTATTCACCAAAACACCCTCAGTGCATGAAATGCATGAAATATGAAACACCAGAAACTAAAAAGGGGGAGAAGCCAGGGCGGATGTCCCAGCTGCAGGAGTGGGAGCCGCTGCTCGTGTGTTTGGGGTCTGTTCTGATTCTGGAGCCTGCTTCTTCCCCTTGGCAATCATGACCCAGGACTTGGCGTTATCTGTGATCGCGTGGGTAGGATTCCCTGGCGGGCGTGGGGATGTGAGATGGGAACAGAGCTTTCTGTCCCTGCCACAGGAACATGGCGCTGCTCTGGGGGCTCCTGGTGCTCAGCTGGTCCTGCCTGCAAGGCCCCTGCTCCGTGGTGAGGCTGGGCTGAAGTCAAGGTGGGGTGGGGTGGAGGGGGAAGAAGAGGGGCGTTGGCATGGAGGGAGGGCTTGGCTCCGAGGGGACCTCCTATCCTCATCCCTTTCTCCACAGTTCTCCCCTGTGAGCGCCATGGAGCCCTTGGGCTGGCAGGTACTGGGGAGTGAGGAGCCTGTGATGGGGGGAAGGTCCCGGGGGTCTCACTGGTGGCTTGGGCAGGGTGGGGGGCCTGTGGGAAGGGTCGGTCTCCATCTGCTTGCTCCTTTCCGCAGCTAACTAGCGGGCCGAACCAGGAGCAGGTGTCCCCACTTACCCTCCTCAAGTTGGGCAACCAGGTACAACCAGGTGGGGCTGGGGAAGAGTGGGCGGGGCTAGAGGGAGGAGGGCCCATCGGCAGGGGTCGGGGGGTGGGGGCGCGTGCTGAGGCTGAGGCTCTGGAGTCCAGAGGCCAGAAGGGAGAGAGGGTGGGGAGGACCGAAGGTGGGCGCCAGGCCCCAGAATGCCAGTGCCCTCCGTCTGACGCTCCCTCTTCCCTGGGGCTGGGACAAGGCCCTGCTGTCCTCAGGCACAGGGGCTGTGACAAGGCCTTCAACACAGAACCTGGAGCTGACCCCTTGACCTCCCTGACCCCTGATCTGTCCCTGCAGGAGCCTGGTGGCCAGACTGCCCTGAAGAGTCCCCCAGGAGTCTGCAGCAGAGACCCCACCCCAGAGCAGACCCACAGGCTGGCCCGGGCCATGATGGCCTTCACTGCCGACCTGTTCTCCCTGGTGGCTCAAACGTCCACCTGCCCCAACCTCATCCTGTCACCCCTGAGTGTGGCCCTGGCGCTGTCTCACCTGGCACTAGGTACCCTGGCACCACTTGTCCAGACCAAGAGAGCTGGAGGCCAGTAGGAACTCACTACTCCAGTGGTTCTCCGCGGGCGGTTCCTCCACCAGGGTCACGTGGCTGTTTGGTAAAAATGCAGATTCCTAGGCCGGGGCGGTGGCTCACGCCTGTAATCCCAGCACTTTGGGAGGCTGAGGCGGGTGGATCACGAGGTCAGGAGTTCAAGACCAGCCTGGCCAACATGGTGAAACTCTCTCTACTAAAAATACAAAAAATTTAGCTGTGCGTGGTGGTGCGCAGCTGTAATTCCAGCTACTCAGGAGGCTGAGGCAGAGAACTGTTTGAACCTGGGAGTTGGAGGTTACAGTGAGCCGAGATGGCGCCACTGCACTCCAGCCTGGGTGACAGAGCAAGATTCCGTCTCAAACAACAACAACAACAAATGCAGATTCCTGGGCCCCCACCCATCTGTCTATGTGAATCAGATCTCAGGGACTGGGCCGGGGAATCTGCTTATTTACAAGTCCTCCTGGTGATTTTTTTTTTTTTTTTGAGACAGAGTCTTGCTCTGTCACCCAGGCTAGAGTGCAGTGGTGTGATCTCAGCTCACTGCAACCTCTGTCTCCCAGGTTCAAGCAATTCTCCTGCCTCAGCCTCCCAAATAGCTGGGATCACAGGCACCAGCCACCATGCACAGCTGATTTTTGTATTTTTAGTAGAGACGGGGTTTCACCATGTTGGCCAGGGTGGTCTCGAACTCTCGACCTAAGGTGATCAACCTGCCTCAGCCTCCCAAAGTGCTGGGATTACAGGCGTGAGCCACCGCGCCCGGCCCCTCCTGGTGATTCTTATGCAAGAGTTTGCTAGCTACACTCTTTCCCACTGTGCTGGAGGGTCTCACTGTGGGAAACGGAAGCCCAGAGAGGGAAGGTAACTTGCGGGGGGTGAGGTCACCCAGCCTGTCAGCCACAGGGGTGAGAGTCACGCAGAACAGATCCGTGGCTGTGGAAGGATGGCGTGTGGTCCCGTGGACGTCCTCGTCACGGGTATCCAGGAGGGACTGGAGTGGGCAGTGGGGGTGAGAAAGGACCCGCAGCCGGGCCTCAGCCTGTGCGGTGCCCTCCAGGTGCTCAGAACCACACGTTGCAGAGGCTGCAACAGGTGCTGCACGCAGGCTCAGGGCCCTGCCTCCCCCATCTGCTGAGCCGCCTCTGCCAGGACCTGGGCCCCGGCGCGTTCCGACTGGCTGCCAGGATGTACCTGCAGAAAGGTAGGCGCTGATGGCAGGGAGCTCCCTCAGTCCTGCCCTGGGTGGAGGAGGGTGAGAGCAAGGGGCTGGGCCTCTGGTAGCGAGTAGGGGCGTGTCTGGCTGTGGAGCCTGGAGCCCTGGGAACAGCTTGTGCTGCCTCCGTGCAGGATTTCCCATCAAAGAAGATTTCCTGGAACAATCCGAACAGCTATTTGGGGCAAAGCCCGTGAGCCTGACGGGAAAGCAGGAAGATGACCTGGCAAACATCAACCAATGGGTGAAGGAGGCCACGGAGGGGAAGATTCAGGAATTCCTCTCTGGGCTGCCGGAAGACACCGTGTTGCTTCTCCTCAACGCCATCCACTTCCAGGGTGCGCTCCTCCTCCTCTCAGATCCCCCACCCTGTAGGCTGAGCTGGGACGTGCAGGCCTTTTTGTTTTTTGAGACAAGTCTCGCTCTGTCACCCAGGGTGGAGCGCAGTGGCGCGATCTCGGCTCCCTGCAACCTCCGCCTCCCGGATTGAAGCGATTCTCCTGGCTCAGCCTCCCCAGTAGCTGGGATTACAGGCATCTGCCACCACACCCAGCTAATTTTTGTATTTTAGTAGAGACAGGGTTTCACCATGTTGGCCAGGCTGGCCTTGAACTCCTGACCTCAGGTGATCCACCCACCTCGGCCTCCCAAAGTGCTGGGATTACAGGCGTGAGCCACCGCGCCCGGCCATGCAGGCTTTGTTCTGAGGGTCTCCTTTCTTCCTCAGTCTGGGCCATGAGGCAGGAGGCTGTCTGGGTGTGGTGGGGATGGGTGCCCAGGAGCCAGATGAGTTGTTCTAGAGTGAATACCCTGGGAACAAATGGTCTGAAAAGATGCAGGAGGGGCTGGGCGCGGTGGCTCACGCCTGTAATCCCAACACTTTGGGAGGCCGAGGCGGGCAGATCATGAGGTCAGGAGATGGAGACCATCCTGGCTAACACGGTGAAACCCCCGTCTCTGCTAAAAATACAAAAAAATTAGCTGGGCGTAGTGGCGGGCACCTGTAGTCCCAGCTACTCGGGAGGCTGACGCAGGAGAATGGCGTGAACCCGGGAGGCGGTGGAGCTTGCAGTGAGCGGAGGTCGTGCCACTGCACTCCAGCCTGGGCGACAGAGCGAGACTCCGTCTAAAAAAAAAAAAAGATCCAGGAGGAGGTTCCTAGGAGAATTGCAGGGGTTGGGGAAAACACAAGCCCAGATTTCAAAAATGCTACGGGAAAGAGACCTCAGATCAATTGGATGCCAGCTAGCATTCCCTGGGGTCTTGGCCTCCACCGCTGTCTCATCCTTGAATGGATTCTGGGTGGGACGGGCAACGGGCTGGGGGTGCAGAGCCCAAGCTGGTCCCCATCGACGTGACCCCTGCCCTCTGCCCCAAGCTGGTCCCCGTCGACGTGACCCCTGCCCTCTGCTGGGTTTCAGGTTTCTGGAGGAACAAGTTTGACCCGAGCCTTACCCAGAGAGACTCCTTCCACCTGGACGAGCAGTTCACGGTGCCCGTGGAAATGATGCAGGCCCGCACGTACCCGCTGCGCTGGTTCTTGCTGGAGCAGCCTGAGATCCAGGTCACCCTTGGTTGTCCAGCAGGCTGGGCCTGAGGCTGGGAGGTGGGGAAGGGAGTGGACAGGCTGTGGAGCAGGCACAGGGATGGGTGGAGGCTGTCTCGCCTTCCTTGCCTCCACGTCCCCTAGGCAGGCAACTGCAAAAGGTCCCATGATCCCCCATCCTACCTGGCAGGAGGACTGAGGCTCCAGGCTCTTTGAGGTTTAGTAATTCAGTGAAAATATACTGGGCATTTGCTGTGTTCCAGATACTGTTCTAAGCACTAGGGTTTTTGTGGAGCATGAGGGAGGCCAGGTCTCTGCTCTTAGGAAGGAGGATACACAGTGCAACAGTGAATGGACATCAACACAGGAATTCCAGACGCTGGGAAGCGCTGTGGAGGGAAAGCTGAAAAAGAAGGTGATTTTGGCCGGGAGCGGTGGCTCACGCCTGTAATCCCAGCACTTTGGGTGGCCCAGGCAGGTGGATCATAAGGTCAGGAGTTTGAGACCAGCCTGGCCAAGATTTGAAACCCCGTTTCTACTAAAAATACAAAAATTAGCCAGGCGTGGTGGCAGGTGCCTGTAATCCCAGCTACTCCAGAGGCTGAGGCAGGAGAATCACTTGAACCCAGGAGGGAAAGGTTGCAGTGAGCTGTGATTTTGAGGTCAGGAGTTCGAGACCAGCCTGACCAACATAGCAAAGCCCCGTCTCTACTAAAAATACAAAAATTAGCCAGCCATGGTGGCGGGCGCCTGTAATCCCAGATACTCTGGAGGCTGAGGCAGGAGAATCACTTGAACCCGGGAGACGGAGGCTGCAGTGGGCTGAGATCGCACCACTGCACTCCAGCCTGGGAGACAGATTGAGACTCCGACTCAGAAAAAACAAAGGCTGGCCTTGAACTCCTGACCTCAGGTCATCTGCCCACCTCGGCCTCCCTAAGTGCTGGGATTACGGGCATGAGCCACCAGGCCTGGCCTTATTTAGGCATTTTAGAGTGGTAAGGGAGAATTCTGTGAGGAGGGGGCATTGAATTGAGACTCAGGTGACCGTTGTTGATAAGGGTTTATTACAAGGGCCCATGGACTTTGGGGCAGCACAGGGACCACCCCACGGCCATGTAGCCACTCAGGGTCTCTGCAGCCCCCAGCCTGGGAGATTCCACGGGGCGCTCACACAGTGCTCCTTAGAAAGGAGGATCTGATTGGATTGGATTTCTCAGCATCTTGCGTGGAACATTCTGATTGGATAAACTTCTTTTTTTTTTTTTTGAGACAGAGTCTTGCTCTGTCACCCAGGCTGGAGTGCAGTGGCACGATCTCGGCTCACTGCAGCCTCTGCCTCCTGGGTTCAAGCCACTCTCCTGCCTCAACCTCTCGAGTAGCTGGAACTACAGGCATGCACCACCACGCCTGGCTAATTTTGTTCGTTTGTTTGTTTGTTTTTGAGACGGAGTTTCTCTCTATCGCCCAGACTGGAGTGCAGTGGTGCAATCTCGGTTCACTGCAATCTCTACCTCCCGGGTTCAAGGGATTCTCCTGCCTCAGCCTCCCGAGTAGCTTGGACTACAGGCGCCCGCCACCATGCCCAGCTAATTTTTGTATTTTTAGTAGAGACGGGGTTTCACCATATTGGCCAGGATGGTCTCAATCTCCTGACCTCGTGATCCGCCTGCCTCAGCCTCCCAACGTGCTGGGATTACAGGTGTGAGCCACCGTGCCCGGCCAATTTTTGTATTTTTTTTTTTTAGTAGAGACAGGTTTCACCATGTTGGCCAGGCTGATCTCAAACTCCTGACCTCAAGTGATCCGCCCGCCTTGGCCTCCCAAAGTGCTGGGATTATAGGCAGGAGCCACTGCGCCCAGCTCTGATTGGATAAAATTCCGTGCCAGGCTGTCTCAGGTGTGGCCTCTCTTGCTTCTAGCCTAAATGTGGTCCCCTTGGCCTGGGTATTGATCCCCGGGCCAGACAGCTGTGGCTGAGATGGCTGTATTTGTTAGCTTCCCAAGGCAAGTGTGACACAGAGCACAGCCACTTCTGCAGGGAGGAGCCAGAAGCCACTTGGGCAGCCCTCCTGGGAGGGGGCTGTGGGTGAGGCTGGCCCGGGAACGCGTCCTGGCTTCCCTGCAGCTCATTCTGAAAGGCCAGTCTGATCCACCTCCCCGAGGCTCCCCTTTCCTGCTTCCCCTTTCCTCCAGGCTGTGTCCTGCGTACTCTTCCTTCATCCTTCGTCTCCTTTCCTTAGGCCCCGTCAGCCTTTCTTGTCCTCAGGCCCTCTGCAGACAGGCCCAAACAGCCAGAACCCGGGGCTTATCCTCCCACGGGCAGGGGTTCTCCACACGGGTACTCTGCCTGGAACCCAAGGAGTCACAGCTGCAGGAGGCCCTCGAGCCCTGTGGTGTCCACACTGCTTTTGCTGCAGAATCCCTTCAAATCAAATCTTAATGGCTGGGCACGGTGGCTCACGCCTGTAATCCCAGCACTGTGGGAGGCTGAGGCAGGTGGATCACCTGAGGTCTGGAGTTTGAGACCAGCCTGGCCCACATGGTGAAACCCCGTCTCTACTAAAAATACATCAATTGGCCAGGTGAGATGGTGAGCGCCTGTAGTCCCAGCTACTCGGGAGGCTGAGGCAGGAGAATCACTTGAACCCGGGTGGCAGAGGTTGCAGTGAGCCAAGATCATGCCACTGCACTCCAGCCTGGACAATAAGAGTGAAACTCTGTCTTGAAAAAAAAAAAAAAAGAGGCTGGGTGTGGTTTACAGGCTCATGCCTGTAATCCCAGCACTTTGGGAGGCCAAGGCAGGTGGATCACGAGGTCAGGAGATTGAGACCATCCTGGCTAACACGGTGAAACCCCATCTCTTCTAAAAATACAAAAAATTAGCCGGGCGTAGTGGCGGGCACCTGTAATCCCAGCTACTCGGGAGGCTGAGGCAGAAGAATGGCGTGAATCCACGAGGCGGAGGTTGCGGTGAGCCGAGATTGCGCCACTGCACTCCAGCCTGGGCGACAGTGCGAGACTCCAACTCAAAAGAAAAGAAAAAAAAAGAAATCTTAAGCCAAATCACAATATATTTACACAGCTGGCAAAGTCACAAGAGGGAGGTGTGGGAGGGTGGGGCGGGCAGCACTCGGCAGTGGCTCACCCACAGAACCCAGCTGTGGTATGACAGCCAGTGACCCTGTCTGTGGTACATCTGGAGAAGCTGAGACAAAGACAGGCGATTCCTTACGCCGGGTCACACGGCCAGCTGGTAGCCGGTGAAGAGAGAAAACCACCAGGTATTATTGAGCACCGTCTGTGACAGCGGACACTGCTACAATGTTGTTTTTTTTCTTTTTTTGAGACGGATTTTTACTCCTGTCCCCCAGGCTGGAGTGCAGTGGCTTGATCTTGGCTCATGGCAACCTCTGCCTCCCGGGTTCAAGCAATTCTCCTGCCTCAGCCTCCCGAGTTGCTGCGATTACAAGCGCCCGTCACCACAGAAGCCCAGCTCATTTTTGTATTTTTAGTAGAGATGAGGTTTTGCCATGTTGGTCAGGCTGGTCTTGAACTCCTGACCTCAGGTGATCTGCCTGCCTCGGCCTCCCAAAGTGCTAGGATTACAGGCGTGAGCCCCCATGCCCGGCCACACTGCTAGAAACTTTAAAAGCATCTCATTCGGTTACGTGTCCGCCTGCAGTGGGACAGGTAGTATGACTCCACCCCACTGTGAGGAAGTGGAGGAGCAGTGGGGTCAGTCACACGCCTGGCAGGATGGCCAGGAGCCCCATTGTCTGCCTTAGGAGCACCTGCTGGCCCCACCCCCACTTAGCTTCGGGGCTTTCTGTCCTCATGCTCTTCCCTTCCCTTTTCTGTAGGTGGCTCATTTCCCCTTTAAGAACAACATGAGCTTTGTGGTCCTTGTACCCACCCACTTTGAATGGAACGTGTCCCAGGTACTGGCCAACCTGAGTTGGGACACCCTGCACCCACCTCTGGTGTGGGAGAGGCCCACCAAGGTCCGGCTGCCTAAGCTGTATCTGAAACACCAAATGGACCTGGTGGCCACCCTCAGCCAGCTGGGTAAGGAGGAGGGTGCGGGCGAGCCCCCGAGGTCAGGCTGGGCAGGGCGGGTAAGGAGGAAGCGTCTGGCTGGCAGTGGAGCTGAGTCAGAGCTGTCCTGTGTCCTGCTCTTTTCCAGGGCTTCGGGAGCGGGGAGAGGGTTGAATATGAGCCCCCAGACCCTCTGTCCTAGAGGAAGTTGGGGTGGCCCGGGGAATGGGGCTCTGCTTTGCTGCCCAAGACCTCGCATTGCAAGGAGAGTCTGGGTAGAGAGCCTGGGATGGCATGTGAGCCTCGCTGGCTTCCCTGGAAGGGGAAGGAGGAGAAGCTGGGGTGTCACACTGTTAAAGAAATGCTGGGTGGAGTGGCTCATGCCTGTAATCCCAGCACGTTGGGAAGCTGAAGTGGGTGGATTGCTTGAGCCCGGGAGTCCGACACCAGCCTGTGCAACACATTGAAACTCCGTCCCTACAAAAAATACAAAAATTAGCCAGGTGTGGTGCATGCTACTGGGGAGGTTGAGGTGGGAGGCCCTCTTGACCCCAGGTGGCTGAGGCTGCAGTGAGCCATAATTGTGCCACTGCACTCCAGCCTCAGCAAAAGAACTAAGACCTTGTCTCAAAAATAAAAATAAAGGCCGGGCATGGTGGCTCACGTCTGTAATCCTAGCACTTTGGGAGGCCAAAGAGGGTGGATCACCTGAGGTCATGAGTTTGAGACCAGCCTGGCCAACATGGCCAAACCCGTCTCCACTAAAAATACAAAAATTAGCCGGGCGTGGTGGCGCATGCCCATAATCCCAGCTACTTGGGAGGCTGAGGCAGGAGAATTGCTTGAACCTGGGAGGAGGAGGTTGCAGTGAGCCGAGATCACGCCACTGTACTCCAGCCTGGATGACAGAGTGAGACTCCATCTCAAAAAAAAATTATAATAACTAAAATAAATAAATAAAGCATCTATCCTTCAGCCATTTGCTAAGCAGCTGCTGTATTCCAGGCACTGTACCAGGTACCGGGAGCCCACCATGTACAAACAGCTGAGTCTAATGGGGTGGGCAGACGAGCAATCACATACTTACTACAGCATAAGCGATAAGACAGAGAGGGCTTCTCTCCAGCTCACCTGGGAGAACACTGAAAATGTACCTTGGTTGGACTTTAGAGCTGGGGATCAGGGAAGGCTTCCTGGAGGAGGTGGTGTTTAAGCTGAGTCTTGGAAACCGGATAGGAATGAAGCAGGTATCTGTGAGTTCAAGCTGTTCCCTGGCCAGGATCTCAGACACCCTCCCAAGCAGCTCCAGGAGCCTGTGAGGCCAAGGGCAGCTCTGACCAGCCATCTCTGGCCCTGGGCAGGCCTGCAGGAGTTGTTCCAGGCCCCAGACCTGCGTGGGATCTCCGAGCAGAGCCTGGTGGTGTCCGGCGTGCAGCATCAGTCCACCCTGGAGCTCAGCGAGGTCGGCGTGGAGGCGGCGGCGGCCACCAGCATTGCCATGTCCCGCATGTCCCTGTCCTCCTTCAGCGTGAACCGCCCCTTCCTCTTCTTCATCTTCGAGGACACCACAGGCCTTCCCCTCTTCGTGGGCAGCGTGAGGAACCCCAACCCCAGTGCACCGCGGGAGCTCAAGGAACAGCAGGATTCCCCGGGCAACAAGGACTTCCTCCAGAGCCTGAAAGGCTTCCCCCGCGGAGACAAGCTTTTCGGCCCTGACTTAAAACTTGTGCCCCCCATGGAGGAGGATTACCCCCAGTTTGGCAGCCCCAAGTGAGGGGCCGTGGCTGTGGCATCCAGAGTCCCTGCCTGGACCAGCCTCTCCACTCATGTGACTCTTTCCAACCGGCTTTGTGGCACTGGGGCAGGGGCCGGGGGCAGTCTGAGAGAGGCCATTCTTTCCCAACACCTCTTGGGGAGTTTAGGGTGGGGGGGGGGCGCGGCTGGGAGGAGGGCAGGCATCGGGGAGCCGGGAGCCTGACCCTCATCTTTCTTCCAAACAGGCTCAGAGGGTGTCCTGCACCGGGGCCTGGGCAGGAGGGAGGTGCTTCTAGTTCTGCCAGGAGACAGGTTAGCTGCTCCCCACGTCAGCTGGGACACCCCGACTTTTGTTTACCAGAGAAAAAGGGAGGGGGAGAGGGCTGCCTTTGGACTTGTCCCGGGACACCTAGGCTAGGGTGGGGAGAGACGGGCCCTGGTGGTGGCTCGGGAGGCGAAGCGTTGTCCTCAGCCCCGCGTGGAACTCGTGTCTGGCACAGCCTGGCTGTGGCCTAACCTGCCGAGAGTCCATCAGCCTCCATCCTACCCCCTGTGCCTTGTCACGCCAGACTTCCCACGGCTCCTCGAGATCCCAACACTGCCAGCATTTCCCTTCCTTCCTCTCCTGTCTCCCTCCTCTGCCCGGGAGCTCAGGAACCGAGGCAGGGAAGGATCCCATGAGCTCCTTAAGGCTCTTTTGTAAGGTTTTTGTAGTGATTTTTATGCCACCTGAATAAAGAATGAATGGGCCTGGCTGGTTTGATGTCACCGTTCTGGGCATGGGTGGGGACAAGTGAGGATGGTGGGGAAGGCAGGGAGGCGGCCGCAGGGTGGACTGTGCTGAGGAACCCTGGGCCCAGCAGGGGTGGCAGCCCGCGCAGTGCCACGTTTGGCCTCTGGCCGCTCGCCAGGCATCCTCCACCCCGTGGTCCCCTCTGACCTCGCCAGCCCTCCCCCGGGACACCTCCACGCCAGCCTGGCTCTGCTCCTGGCTTCTTCTTCTCTCTATGCCTCAGGCAGCCGGCAACAGGGCGGCTCAGAACAGCGCCAGCCTCCTGGTTTGGGAGAAGAACTGGCAATTAGGGAGTTTGTGGAGCTTCTAATTACACACCAGCCCCTCTGCCAGGAGCTGGTGCCCGCCAGCCGGGGGCAGGCTGCCGGGAGTACCCAGCTCCAGCTGGAGACAGTCAGTGCCTGAGGATTTGGGGGAAGCAGGTGGGGAAACCTTGGCACAGGGCTGACACCTTCCTCTGTGCCAGAGCCCAGGAGCTGGGGCAGCGTGGGTGACCATGTGGGTGGGCACGCTTCCCTGCTGGAGGTGCAGGGGGTCCACGTGGCAGCGGCCACCTGGAGCCCTAATGTGCAGCGGTTAAGAGCAAGCCCCTGGAAGTCAGAGAGGCCTGGCATGGAGTCTTGCTTCTTGCAAACGAGCCGTGTGGAGAGAGAGATAGTAAATCAACAAAGGGAAATACATGGTCTGTCCGAGGATGAGCTGCCGGAGAGCAATGGTGAAAGTGAAGTGGGGGAGGGGGCGGGGCTGGGAGGAAAAGCCTTGTGAGAAGGTGACACGAGAGCACGGCCTTGAAGGGGAAGAAGGAGGGCACTATGGAGGTCCCGGCGAAGCGTGGCCTGGCCGAGGAACGGCATGTGCAGAGGTCCTGCCGAGGAGCTCAAGACAAGTAGGGGACGGTGGGGCTGGAGTGGAGAGAGTGAGTGGGAGGAGGAGTAGGAGTCAGAGAGGAGCTCAGGACAGATCCTTTAGGCTCTAGGGACACGATAAACACAGTGTTTTTTGTCTTGTCAAGTGTGTCCTTTTTATTTTTTTGAAAGAGTCTCGCTCTGTAGCCCAGGCTGGAGTGCAGCGGTGCGACCTCGGCTCACTGCAACCTCTGCCTCCCGGGTCCAAGCAATTCTCCTGCCTCAGCCTCCCGAGTAGCTGGGATTACAGGCATGCGCCACCACGCACTGCTAATTTTTGTATTTTAGTAGAGACCGGGTTTTGCCATGTTGGTCAGGCTGGTCTCGAACTCCTGACCTCAGGTGATCCGCCCGCCTCGGCCTCCCAGAGTGGTGTGAGCCACTATGCCCTGCAGCACTTGTCAAGTCTTTCTCAGCGTTCCCCTCCTCTCCACTGCAGCTCCCAGTGCCCCAGTCTGGGCCTCGTCTTCACTTCCTGGGATCCCTGACATTGCCTGCTAGGCTCTCCCTGTCTCTGGTCTGGCTGCCTTCACTGTAACCTCCACCCAGCAGGTACCTCTTCAGCACCTCCCATGAACCCAGCAGAATACCAAGCCCTGGGGATGCAGCAACGAACAGGTAGACGCTGCACTCCAGCCTGGGCGACAGAGCAAGACTCCGCCTGAAGAAAAAAAAAAGGACCAGGCCGGGCGCGGTGGCTCACGCCTGTAATCCCAGCACTTTGGGAGGCCGAGGTGGGTGGATCATGAGGTCAGGAGTTCAAGACCAGCCTGGCCAAAATGGTGAAACCCCGTCTCTACTGAAAAATACAAAAATTAGCTGGGTGCAGTGGCGGGCGCCTGTAGTCTCAGCTACTCAGGAGGCTGAGGCAGGATAATTGCTTGACCCCAGGAGGCAGAGGTTGCAGTGAACCGAGATCACGCCACTGCACTCCAGCCTGGGCGACAGAGCAAGACTCTGCCTCAAAAAAAAGAATAAAAATAAAAAAAAGGACCAGATACAGAAAACAGAAGGAGACGTACTATGAAGGAAATTGGAGAGCTTTTGGGATACTGAGTAACTCAGGGTGGCCTTTCCCAGGGGACATTTAGCTGAGAGATAGACGGTATGAAGACCTGACCGTTCAGAAACAGGGGAAGAGGCAGCAGCCCGGGCAAAGGCCTTTGGGGCAGGAAAGGGCTTGGATCACTGGAGAAGCAGAAAGATGGCCAGTGTGACCAGAGTGTGACAAAGTCAGAGAAAACCAGGAAGATGGAGCTGGAGACACAGGCGGGGCCAGATCACGAGGGTCCTTGCAGACCAGAGCAAGGGTTTGGATTTTATTCCAAGTATGAAGGGAAGCTGCTGAAGTGTGTTTTCCTTTACAATTTGTAGTTGAAATATAATATGCAAAGTACACAAGTCTTAACTATATGTAAGCTTAATGAATGTTTCCATGAACCAAATACCGCTGTGCAACCATCACCAGCTCAAGAGACGAACCCTTCTCCCTCCTCCTGACTGCCAGTAACATAGTGGTTCAGCTCAAGAAACAGAACTCTTCTGACTTCCCCTAACATAGCGGGTTTTCTTTTTTGTTTTGTTTTTTGTTGTTTTTTAAGAGACAATGTCTTTATTATTTTTATTTTTTTTTATTTTTGAGACGGAGTCTTGCTGTCGCCCAGGCTGGAGTGCAGTGGTGCGATCTCGGCTCACTGCAGGCTCTGCCCCCCGGGGTTCATGCCATTCTCCTGCCTCAGCCTCCCTAGCAGCTGGGACTACAGGTGCCCGCCACCTCGCCCGGCTATTTTTTTGTATTTTTAGTGGAGACGGGGTTTCACCGTGTTAGCCAGGATGGTCTCGATCTCCTGACCTCGTGATCCGCCCACCTCGGCCTCCCAAAGTGCTGGGATTACAGGCATGAGCCACCGCGCCCAGCCAAGAGACACGGTCTTGCTCTGTCGCCCAGGCTGGATGGAGTGCCGTGGTGCGATCACAGTTCGCGGCAGCCTTGACATCCTGGGCTCAAGCAACCTTCCTGCCTTGGCCTCCCAAATGTTGGGATTATAGGCATGAGCCACTGTGCTTGGCATCTATTCATCTTTAATGTCAAGCAGGCAATTGAATATTTGATCAGGGATAGAATTGTCTATTTGGGGGTATGCAGATGTGCTTCATGTCATGGAACTGGGCCGGGCACGGTGGCTCATGCCTATAATCCCAGCACTTTGGGAGGCCGAGGCAGGCGGATCATAAGGTCAGGAGATCGAGACCATCCGGGCCAACACGGTGAAACCCCGTCTCTACTAAAAATACAAAAATTAGGCAGGTGTGGTGGTGCCTGCCTGTAGTCCCAGCTACTCAGGGAGGCTGAGACAGGAGAATTGATTGAACCTGGGAGGCAGAGGTTGTAGTGAGCCAAGATCGCGCCACTGCACTCCAGCCTGGGCGACATGAGCGAGACTCCGTCTCAAAAATAAACAAAAAAAAGTCATGGAATTGATGGAAATTGCCTAAGGGGAGATGTAGAAGAAAAGGGGTCTCAGGATCAAGCCAGCAGAGAAGGCAGAAAAGGTAAGGTGTGTGAGGTGGCAGAAAAAGGGAAGAGTGTGGACAGTGAGGGTTTCAAGGAGGAGGAACTGTCTACTGCCTCCTGCCAAGGACGGAGGTGTCCACTGCCAGTTGACATAAGGTCACCCATGAACTTGGTGACAGGAATTTCAGTGGAGAAGTGGCCACAGACACAAGTCTAGAATTGAAATGGGAGCCGAGGCAGCGTAGACAAAAGAGGAAACTGCTCCTTCCAGAGCGGCTCTGAGCGAGCACCGAGAAATGGGCAGTGGCTTTAGGGGATGTAGCGTCAAGGAAGTGTCTTTTAAAGAAGTCGGGGGCCGGGCACGGTGGCTCACGCCTGTAGTCCCAGCACTTTGGGAGGCCGAGGCAGGCAGATCACTTGAGGTCAGGAGTTCGAGACCAGCCTGGCTAACACGATGAAACCCCGTCTCTACTAAAAATACAAAAAATTAGCTGGGCACGGTGGCTCGTGCCTGTAATCCCAGCACTTTGGGAGGCAGAGGTGGGCAGATCACTTGAGGTCAGGAGTTTGAGACCAGCCTAGCCAACATGGTGAAACCCCATCTCTACTAAAACTACAAAAATTAGCCGGGAGTGGTGGCACGTGCCTGTAATCCCAGCCAGTCAGGAGGCTGAGGCAGGAGAATCACTGGAATCCTGGAGGTGGAGGTGGCAGTGAGCCGAGATGGTACCTCTGTACTCCAGCCTGGGGGACAGAGTGAGACTCCGTCTCAAAAAAAAAAGAAGGTGGGGAAGGATCTTTGAGGGCCGGACACGCTGACCCTGCAGGAGAGGACACATTCTTCTAACAGGGGTCGGACAAAAGAGAACTCTTCTGTATAATTTATGATTTTAAGATTTTTATTTATTATTATTTTTTATAGAGGCAAGCATTTTTCACCACGTCACCCAGGCTGGTCTCCAACTCCTGGGCTCAAGTGTGCTGGGATTATAGCCATGAGTCACCACACCTGGCCCAGAAACTTTACTAAGGACTTATTTAAATGATTTGCTTATTTGTGAATAGGTATTTTGTTCACGTGGTTCACAACTCAAAAGCAACAAAAAGCACCCAGTGAAAAGCCTTCCTCTCATTCTGATTTCCAGTCACTGGATTCTACTCTTGGGATGCAGTGTTTTTCATCTCTTTTTTGTATCCTTTTGGAAATAGTATTCTGCTTTAAAAAGCAAATACAGGCCAGGTATGGTGGCTCACTCCTGTAATCCCAGCACTTTGGGAGGCCGAGGCAGGTGATCACCTAAGGTCAGGAGTTCAAGACCAGCCTGGCCAATATGGTGAAACCCTGTCTGTACCAAAACACAAAAACAAAAACAAAAACAAAAATTAGCCGGGCGTGGTGGCGTGCTCCTGTAATCCCAGCTACTCAGGAGGCTGAGGCAGGAGAATCGCTTGAACCTGGGAGGCAGAGGTTGCAGTGAGCCGAGATTGTGCCACTGTACTCCAGCCTGGGCCACAGAGCAAGGTTCCATCTCAAACAAAACAAAACAAAACAAACAAAAAAACAAAACAAAAGCTAATACAAACACATATACAATAGACAAAACTGTAAATATTTTATTATTTTTATTTTTTTTAGTAGAGACAGGGTTTCACCATGTTGGCCAGGATGGTCTCAAACTCCTGACCTCAGGTGATCCACCCACCTCAGCCTCCCGATAGTTAGGATTACAGGCATGAGCCACCACACCCGGCCTAAAATTGTAAACGTTTTAGAAGAAAGTATAGATGAATCCCTTCGTGATCTCGGGGAAGAAGAGATTTTTTAAAAAAGATACCAAAAGAAGCACAAATTATAAAAGAAAAGATTGAAAATGTTGGTGTTAAAATTAAAAACTTGTTTTAAAACAAGCTTGTGTAACCCATGACCCACAGGCTGCATGTGGCCCAGAAAAGCTTTGACTGCAGCCCAACACAAATTCGTAAACTTTCCTAAAACATTATGAGATTTTTTTTGAGATTTTGTTTTGTTTTGTTTTTTGTTTTTTTAGCTCATTCGGTATCATTAATGTTAGCATATTTTACGTGGGGCCCAAGACAATTCTTCTTCCAATGTGTCTCAGGGGAGCCAAAAGATTGGACACCCCTGCCATAAACATGAAAAGACAATGGCCGGGCACGGTGGCTCACGCCTGTAATCCCAGCACTTTGGGAGGCTGAGGGGGGCGGGATCACCTGAGGTCAGGAGTTTGAGACAAGCGTGACCAATGTGGTGAAACCCTGTCTCTACTAAAAATACAAAAATTAGCCGGGCATGCTCGTGCACACCTATAGTCCCAACTACTCAGCAGGGTGAGGCAGGAGAACCTCTTGAACCCGGGAAGCGGAGGTTGCAGTGAGCCGACATTGCACCCCTGCACTCCAGCCTGGGTGACAGAGTGAGTCTCCATTGGAAAAAAAAAAAAAAGAACAGTGTGATACATTGACCTAAGGTTTAAGAACATGCAAACTGATACTATATATCACTTAGGGACAAAAACTTACATGGTAAAAGTAAAAAGAAATGTACGAAAATAATAAAAATCAAATTCAAGATGGTGGTTATGGTGACGGGAAAGAACTGAGGCGGAAATATAAGGTTGTCACTATATTGAGAAATTTTTCTATCTTTTTTTCTTTTTTCTTTTTTTGAGACGGGGTCTCGCTCTGTCGCCCAGGATGGAGTGCAGTGGTGTGATCTCAGCTCACTGCAACCTCCGCCTCCCAGGTTTAAGTGATTCTCCTGCCTCAGACTCCCAAGTAGCTGGGACTACAGGTGCGCGCCAACACACCTGGGTAATTTTGTTTGTATTTTTAGTAGAGATGGGGTTTCACCGTGTTGGCTAGGCTGGTCTCGAACTCCTGACCTCAGGTGATCCCCCGGCCTCGGTCTCCCAAAGTGCTGGGATAACAAGCGTGAGCCACTGCGCCCAGCTTTGTTTGCATTTTTAGGTGAGATGGGGTTTCACCACGTTGGCCAGGCTGGTCTTGAACTCCTGACCTCAGGTGATGCACCTGCCTCAGTCTCCCAAAGTGCTGGATTACAGGCGTTAGCCCCTGCGCCCGGCCCCTGAAGGAAAATCTAAAGGAAGAGGAAGGTGTGCAAATGTGTGCGCCTTAGGCGTAATGGATGGTGGTGCAGCAGTGGGTTAAAGTTAACACGAGACAGTGATGCAATCACAGAATCCAAATTGAGTGCAGGTCGCTTTAAGAAAGGAGTAGCTGTAATCTGAAGCCTGCTGGACGCTGGATTAGAAGGCAGCAAAAAAAGCTCTGTGCTGGCTGGAGCCCCCTCAGTGTGCAGGCTTAGAGGGACTAGGCTGGGTGTGGAGCTGCAGCGTATCCACAGGTAAAGCAGCTCCCTGGCTGCTCTGATGCCAGGGACGGCGGGAGAGGCTCCCCTGGGCTGGGGGGACAGGGGAGAGGCAGGGGCACTCCAGGGAGCAGAAAAGAGGGGTGCAAGGGAGAGGAAATGCGGAGACAGCAGCCCCTGCAATTTGGGCAAAAGGGTGAGTGGATGAGAGAGGGCAGAGGGAGCTGGGGGGACAAGGCCGAAGGCCAGGACCCAGTGATCCCCAAATCCCACTGCACCGACGGAAGAGGCTGGAAAGGCTTTTGAATGAAGTGAGTGGGAAACAGCGGAGGGGCGGTCATGGGGAGGAAAGGGGAGCTAAGCTGCTGGGTCGGGTCTGAGCAGCACCCCAAGACTGGAGCCCGAGGCAAGGAGGCTCACGGGAGCTGCTTCCACCAAGGGCAGTCAGGAAGGCGGCCGCCCTGCAGCCCAGCCCTGGCCCCTGCTCCCTCGGCTCCCTGCTACTTTTTCAAAATCAGCTGGTGCTGACTGTTAAGGCAATTTCCCAGCACCACCAAACCGCTGGCCTCGGCGCCCTGGCTGAGGGCTGGGATGGAGGACAGCTGGGTCCTTCTAGCCAGCCCCCACCCACTCTCTTTGGCTACGTGAGTCAAGGCTGGGCGACCAATGAGGTTGTGGCCTCCGGCAAACAATGACCACTATTTAGGCCGGCAGGTGTATAGGGCATGGGGGCCCAGCTGCCAGTGCTGGAGACAAGGGCCGTCCGAGATGAACCCTTTCTGCTGCCTGCCAAGCCACTGGGAGGGGTAGGTCTCAGCAGGATTCCCAGAAACCCCGCCCCTGTCCAGCCTAGGCCCCCCACCCGGTGTTAGCTAACCCAACGTTAGCCCCCAGGTTCCGTGGGGTTGGAGGGCAGGGAGTCCTATTCTTGGGGCTGCTGCTTCTGGGGTGTGGGGAAGTGCAACTCCACGGCACCCTGGGCTGACTCATTCAGCTTCTAAAGCTTCAGGAAACATTGTTTGGGGCTGGGTCACCATGGGTGGGCCAGAGAGGACCCCTCAATCCCCTCCGGAGAGCCAGGGGAGGGGGAGGTGCCCTTCCCCATGCTATCTCCGAGGCCCACTGCCATGTGGCTGAAGGCTGTGCGGTTCTGGGAAGAGGGGGAGGTGGCGGTGGAGGCTGTTTGTCTCCTAACTGGGCTTAATCTGAAACACATGTATTGGCTTGAGTTGATCCGCCTCACGTGGAGGCAAGATCACAAAAGCTTCTGTGTTTCTTGATGTGGGCAATTGTCAGAAAATAAGGCCTGACCTTGGCCCAGCAGGGAGGGTATCTACCTCTCCCTGAGCCCTCCCCCGCCTGCTAGGACGAGAGCGGGGCTTGGATACTGCCCTTTGGACAGGATGGCATCATTGTCTGTGGCTGCAGCCAGCCAGCGGTCGCCTGCTCAGCCCATGAGCAACCACTGTGGACAGGGTATTGCGTGTGTGCTGAGGGGCGTCCATGCAGACCCCCACGCTTGCCCTCTCACTGCCCTTGTAGGGTTTTCAATCATCTCTCCTCTTCCCTTATCCAGATGGCTTGAAGTGGAGGATTCAGACTTGCCGTTAATACTCTGGGTCCCTGTGTCTAGCTCGGGGCCACCTTTGGACCCATGTCCCTTCCCTGCCAGGCTCCCTCACCTCACCTCAGCCTACCCACATTGTGACAATCATCTACCACCTGATCTGGGGTTTGGGCTTAGATTCTGTAGGCACCAAGACTAAAGTCGCTCCTTCAAGTCCATTTGAATTGTGACTTTAGTTTCCTTAAATACTATGCCAGGATAATGGCCAGGGATGGTGGCTCACGCCTGTACTCCTGGCACTTTGGGATGCTGGTGGATCACCTGAGATCAGGATTCCAGGCCAGCCTGGCCAACACGGTGAAACCCCATCTCTACTAAAACATAAAAATTAACCAGGTGTGGTGGCGGGCACCTGTAATCCCAGCTACTCAGGAGACTGAGGCAGGAGAATTGCTTGAACCCGGGAGGTGGAAGTTGCACTGAGCTGAGATCGCGCCACTGCACTTTAGCCTGGGCGACAAGAGTGAAACTCTGTCTCAAAAACAAAAAAAACTATGCCGGGATGAGCCTGTCTCCTCCCTTAATTTCTTACTTGGGCCAGAGGAACTAGAACTAACAACTTCTCTTCTAGCCTTGCCTCCTGTGTACCTCACTGAATTTTTGGTCTCTAATAAACCAGTCTGCAGAGGCTCAGGGGAGGCAGGCTCCTGGCAGCTGGGTGGGGCTGGCCCCAGCCGGGTGGAGACCAGCTGTAGGCCTGGATGGTGGTGAGGCCTCTGTCTTGCGCTGCAGAAAGCTTTTCCTGTTGTCTACACGAAAGTTTTCTCCCTGCATGTCAGGGCAGCCACGTGCAAGAGCAGCTGGCTGGGAACGCAGAGGTCTGCGGCTCGAGGCGGGGTTTAGAAAGAAAACCAGGCTGCTTCCTGCTGCCCGTCCTGCCTTAAGCTGAGTAAACTCAAAGGCAATCTTCTTTCATGCCTCACGATATTGTCCAGTGGATTATCTGATTTAATTTGAAGGACGAGAGCCAACAATCACACAACGTCCTCCCAAATTTTCTGATCCACTTTGTTCTGGGAAGTCAAAAAGTGTGTGTGCTGTGTGGGTGGATGTTTGTGTATATAAATGGATAATGAAGGATGATGTGTTGGGGGCCAGGGCAGGGGAGACAACGCTGTTCAGATTCTACATTTTTTTTTCCTTTTTTTTTTTTTTTTGAGATGGAGTCTTGCTCTGTTGCCCAGCCTGGAGTGCAGTGGCGCGATCTCAGCTCACTGCAACCTCCACTTCCTGGATTCAAGTGATTCTCCTGCCTTAGCCTCCCAAGTAGCTGGGATTACAGGCATGCGCCACCACACCCGGCTAATTTTTGTATTTTTAGTAGAGATGGGGTTTCTCCATGTTGGCCAGGATGGTCTCAAACTCCTGACCTCAGGTGATCTACCCGCCTCGGCCTCTCAAAGTGCTGGGATTACAGGTTTGAGCCACTGCGCCTGGCCTTTTTTTTTTTTTTTGAGATGGAGTTTTCACTCTTGTTGCCCAGGCTGGAGTGCAGTGGTGCGATCTTGGCTCACTGCAACCTCCACCTCCCAAGTTCAAGTGATTCTCCAGCCTTAGCCCTCCAAGTAGCTGGGACTACAGGTGTGTGCCACCATGCCTGGCTATTTTATTTTATTTTATTTTATTTATTTATTTTTGAGACTAAGTCTTGCTCTGTTGCCCAGGCTGGAGTGCAGTGGCATAATCGGCTCACTGCAACCTCTGCCTCCCAGGTTCAAGTGATTCTCCTGCCTCAGCCTCCTGAGTAACTGGGATTACAGGGGCCTGCCACCACGCCTGGCTACTTTTTGTATTTTTAGTATAGATGGGGTTTCACCATGTTGGCCAGGCTGGTCTCGAACTCCTGACCTCAGGCTATCCGCCTGCCTCAGCCTCCCAAAGTGCTGGGATTACAGGCATGAGCCACTGTGCTCGGTAGTTGTTTTATTTTAATAGTAGGTTATTTTATTTCCATTTTACAAGAGAAAAAATGGTGATTTAAAGAGCTACTAAGACACAGCACTGAGACCATGTGTGATGGCATGCGCCTGCAGTCCCAGCTACTCACGAGGCTGAGGCAGGAGGATCACATGAGGTCAGGAGTTCCAGGCTGTGGAGTGCTATGGTTGTGTAGTGAATAGCCACTACACTCCAGCCTGGGCAGCACAGCAAGATCTTGTCTCCCAAAAAAAAAAAAAAAAAAAAATTTCAAATGTGAACCCAG
The DNA here is from genome assembly GCF_000001405.40 of Homo sapiens. Taxonomy (NCBI): domain Eukaryota; kingdom Metazoa; phylum Chordata; class Mammalia; order Primates; family Hominidae; genus Homo; species Homo sapiens. Next base: position 194,857 of record NT_187611.1, read on the forward strand.
GATCTCTGACCCTAGGCCCTGCACTCCTAACCATGGGAGGAAGAGCTCTTGAAAGGGAACTGTGGGAGAAGGGAATGAGCTGCCTTGTGAGGCCACAGAAGTCCAAAGACAGCTTGAGAATTTGGAGGGACAGCACGTGCCGGACTGGGTGCCTCTATGCTTGGTATCCGGTGATTCCATGGAGGAGACCTGGGTTCTGCCCCATTCTCCTGGGAGGGGTTGCCCAAAGTCTTATCACCGGAGTGGGTCAGCTGCCTCCAGGACAAAGCTTTAGCATACACTTGTGCTGGGCCATACTCCACGTGGAGAAGCCCTGCTGGGGCTGGGGCCCCACTGCTCTGGATCTTTAAAAGCTATTGGTTCAGGGGCCAGGTGTAATGGCTCACACCTATAACCCTAGCACTTTGGGAGGCTGAAGCAGGTGGATAGCCTGAGGTCAGGAGTTTGAGACAAGCCTGATGAACGTGGTGAAACCCCATCGCTATTAAAATACAAAAAATTAGCCGGGCATGGTGGCAGGTGCCTGTAATTCCAGCTACTTGGGAGGCTGAGGCGGGAGAATCGCTTGAACCCAGGAGGCGGAGGTTGCAGTGAGCCAAGATCGCTCCACTGTACTCCAGCCTGGGCGACAGAGCCAGACTCTGTTTCAAAAAATAAAATATAAATAAATAAATAAATAAATAAATAAATAAAAGCTTTAGGCTTAAAGGAGGGTCCCCTGACGCAGACAGTGGAACAAAAGCACAAGCTTATGGTATGACTGTGGGCCCTGAGGCAGGGGGAGGGGCGGGAGAACCTTGCTGGGAGGGATGGGCCATCAAGCTGAGGGTCCACTTCTGGGGGCCTGGAGGGGTGAGGGGTGGTCGCTGCAGGGGGTGGGGGAAAGTGACTAGCCCTGCCCAACCCCTGGGTCCTGGCTGGGGTGGCCAGGAAGGGGTAGCGGGGCAGTGCAGTGTCGGGGGAGAGCGGCTTGCTGCCTCGTTCTTTTCTTGCAGGCCCCAGGATGCAGGCCCTGGTGCTACTCCTCTGCATTGGAGCCCTCCTCGGGCACAGCAGCTGCCAGAACCCTGCCAGCCCCCCGGAGGAGGTCAGTAGGCAGGCGGGGAGGGCGTGGTCAGCATTCCCCGCCCCTCCTTGGCAGGCAGCACGGGAAACAGGACAGGGAACCCGGACCCAGGTTCCAGGCCAGGCTTGGGCCTTTATTTCTCTAGGGCTGGAGTTTCTCCAGCAGCAAAACAGAGAGAAAATGTCTTGCCTTGCCTTTCAGGGGATGGAGTAGGGACATGAATAAGATCCCAAAAGAGTAAAAATCTGAAGCACTTTTAACAAGTCCAGGGCAATTCTCCTGCCTCAGCTTCCCAAGCAGCTGGGATTACAGGCATGCACCACCAAGCCCGGCTCATTTTGTATTTTTAGTAGAGACGGGGTTTCTCCATGTTGGTCAGGCTGGTCTCGAACTCCCGACCTCAAGTGATTCTCCTGCCTCGGCCTCCCAAAGTGCCGGGATGACAGGTGTGAGCCACCGCACCTGGCCAGGATCTTTTCTCATTACCTTGTCTTCCTAGTGGGGGCTCCACTGAGCAGGTCATGTTCCCGGACATTTGTTCGGATACTGACCAGGCTGTGGCAGGGAGTGAGGGTATGGAGTGACCTCTCTCCTGCCCAGAAAGGGCGCAGCTGGGTTCCCAAGGCAGATACAGGCACATGGAGGGAAGCCTGGGCCATATGAGTGTTATGGGGTGAGTGTTGGCGGAGGCCCACCCTTGAGGGACAAGAGCAGCTGGGCATCTTGGCGAGAGCCCTGGACTTTCGTGAGGTCAGAGTATGAATTC